>NC_000002.12:28131872-28284622 GCF_000001405.40 Homo sapiens
TCGCAAGATGTGGGCAATATGAATATATTAGTTAAGCTGCAGGCAATAATTTGCCAGCTCAGAAAAACATTTGTTCCAGCAGCTAGGTTGTTTTTCTTGGAAGTTACTACACCTAATTTGCAAATAAACTTGCTAATGAAATAGTCTCACTCTAAAAATCTAACGTGTGGGAAATGATTAGGGAAGGGTATATTTTAAAAGTCATTTTTCCAATCTCCAAAGTCCAGCTCTCTCATGTCCTTCCTCCCTTTTTTTTCTTTCTTCTTCTTCTTTTTTTTTTTTTTGAGACGGAATCTCGTTCCGTCCCCCAGGCTGGAGTGCAGTGGCACCATCTCCGCTCACTGCAAGCTCCGCCTCCCGGGTTCACGCCATTCTCCTGCCTCAGCCTCCCGAGTAGCTGGGACTACAGGCGCCCGCCACCACGCCCGGCTAATTTTTTGTATTTTTAGTAGAGACGGGGTTTCACCATGTTAGCCAGGATGGTCTCAAACTCCTGACCTCGTGATCCACCCACCTCGGCCTCCCAAAGTGCTGAGATTACAGGCGTGAGCCACCACGCCTGGCCTCTTCTTCTTTCTTACGTTAAGAGCTCTCCACAGCATACCCTTTTAGATCATTTTTCGGTTGCTTCCCCTCATATACTGTTTCCTTCAGCCAGACCTGAGCACTTGAAGTTTTCTTACATTGCCAGCACTCTCTTGCCTCTGTGCTTTTGCTAAAGCTGCTCCTTCCATGTACAAGGCCCTTCTCTAACCCCTCTTCCTGTTGAAATACTATACTTTTTCTAAGGCCTTATTCAAATACCATCTCTACCAACCATTTTCCCTGAGGACAATTAGTCTAGCCTTCCCCAGAGCTCTTTGTAACACTGAATTTATATTAATCTTATAATCTATATTTATATTATAATCTACCCATCATAGCTTTAATTGGTGATAAGGATTTTTAAAAATCTTTTGCTGAATTGCAAGCTACTTATTGAGTTGAGGAACAAGTCTTTTTTTTAATGCCGTGCATAAATGCAATACACAGTTATCAATTGCCTAATTGGCAGTCTTCTAGGTGAATAAGTAGTTCTCACCAAAATATTGGAAAATGCCTCACTGAAAGGTCTTATACTTTTCCTGGTTGCTACAAATTCACTTGGTAGAACTACGTTTATAATACCAAAACAAACTACCAAACATTCTTATATCTTTAAGTAGAAGTTTTCAAAATGAGGTTTTAGAGAAAGATTAACATAAAAGAAGTAAACTTGGGGTATGACTTCTATAAGGGCTTAGATATTTGCTAAAGTTATTAATACTTGTGGTTAATTCTTCCAGAGTTCAGAGCATAGAACAGACATGCCATTTCAAGAAGGCTGTAGTCATGGGATAGGTTTTGAGAACTGACTGTGCTAAGCTCTCATTTATTTTCTGTGTTTTATACTATCTTGTCAACTTTGAGCTATCCAAGCATTGATTATCGATTCAGACTTGGAGAGTTCTTTCAGGAGTCATGGGAAAAGCATCCCATGTGGACCCGCCCAAAGCCAACGTCAAACTCTTGCCCTAGCTGAGGCTTGTACTCCTTTTGGTTTCTGCTATGGCTCTTTCTAGGAAGTCCCAAGCCCCATGCAGTGCATTTGACAGGGAGAGGCTCAGGAGAGACCAATAGCCCCATCCACACTGGGTAAAAATTACCAAGAGAAGGCTTGCATTCCCACCATCTCCTCCATGGGCATAGAGAGATATCGTGGGCCTGGGAGGAACCCCATTCCAGTCTGACTGTTCCTCTGTCCCAGCTTGTCCATGCAGGAGGCAAAGATATTATACTCACGTTAACTACTCCCAGCAATTGGAAAAGAAAAGGGCTACTTTTGGGTCTTGTCATCATATGTAGGAAAAAATATTGATTTGTTGTACCCTAAAAAGACTACAAATTAGACAATCCTGACAAAAGAGAACATCAGTCAGATTCATTGGTAGAAGACTCTGAGATGTGTTCTAATTTGATGAAGCTCTGAAATGTGATCCCACTTCTGAAGTCTGTTTGCCCAGGGTCGTGGAATAGTTGTCTGGTGTCCCTGGCAGCCCTGCCGCACGTGGCTGCACGCCCTTACGATGCTTAGATGCATATTGTTTACCGGTCTCCCACTGCGCATTTCTATGACTTGCAGAGTAAATGCTTCTGAGAAGAACTTTGTGTTCTTGCACAAGGGACATTTATGAAATAAACATATTTCTGGCCCTATACATTTGTCTTCCAAGGAACCAAAACCAATCCGTTGAATTAGACACGAGTAAGTTCTGTTAATTAAAAAAAAAAAAAAGTCAATGGTGAGTTATGCAAAAAAAAAAAAAAAAAGCTAGTAGTCAATGATGCAAATTAGATTTTGGTTGAATATTAGAAAAGGGGAAAAAATAGTTTCTAAACCAGTTGCTTTTTTTTCCCCTGGCAGAAAAGCTGTGAGTTTTAAGGTTACATCATCAGAGCTGGCGTGAAACATGCTCTACCTTTCCCTCTTCCCCAGACTGTTGGCAGTTGTTGTAGTGAACCCAAAGGTTAAATGGGCATGAGAGTCTGCATAGCACTCTTCCACGAAAGGTGTGGGCCCTTTTCTTGGCTTGAGCCACTTTGTGGGAGTGGTTTAAAGACAACCAGCTTCCTCATTCCCTGTGCTGTTCCCACTCTGTGCATAAAAAGAGGACTTCAGCCCTGAGGCAGACCAGGTGGCATCTTTCACAAGTACAGAATTTGTTTTTAGAACTTTTTGTTAAGTTACATCTGCCTTGGAAATGAGTACTCAAAACTTCCCAGCCCACGAACGCTCACTATTATTGAGGCCTGTGTACCTGCAATATGCATGTTTGTTCTTTCAGGCAACAGAAACCCAATGAGAATCAACCACATGTGAGGCCCTTTGCTAGGTGCTTCAGAGGCTGTCAGCATAAATGAAATGTGGCTCATCTCCTTAATTTCCTCAAAGTAAGAGGGATCAGAACAAATATGGCAAGTTGTGACTTGTGGATTAATAGAAAAGGCATATTAATACATGGCATCAGAAGCCCCCTGTTCCTTCACTTATTGGCTGGCAATCTTGGCTTAAGTTAACGTTTTTGAGCTTCATTTCATCTTCTGTGAAGAGGAATAAATCTAAGTTTCAGTTTCATCTACTCCAAGTGGGGAGGTAGATGAGAAAGGCCCTACTGTAGTGCTTGGCCCATGGTTGATGCTTAGTTAGTGCTCCTTGAGAAAATACTTATTAAGTGCTATAAGAGTTCAAGAGAGTGGGAGATCACATTTCCATTTGACTTGGTGGAGAAGGAGCTTTGGAAGATTATGGAAAGCCTGGCTTTTCTAGAGATTAAATATGCAATACTGTAACAATAACAGATATGTATTTGTTCAGTACTTTAAAATATTCAAACTGCTTTTCACTTTACCATCCCATCTGATCCTCATGATAGTATGTCTATCATGTGTTTTATAATATAGCTTTTTTCTTCCATAACTTGGAGTTTTTAGATCCTTCCTTGTCTCCTTCACTGCTACTCCTTCCTTTTTTCAACCCATTAAATTATGCTAAATTGTGCTTCCTGTGATAACATCCCTAGACACTTTTGTGGCATTGCCTGTTTGTGGATGACACCCAGATCCCCATTTCTAATCTCAGCATTTCTCCCTGCTTACAGATCTGCTTCTCTAACCACTAGATAGACATGTCTATCTGTGTGTTCAGTTGACACCTCAAATTTAAAGGGCCTGAAACTAAACTCATCATTCCCCCAATAAGCTAATGTTTCTTCTTTACAGCCTGTTTTTATTCATGACACTCTTGTCTTCTTGGTGCCCAGGTGGTACATCTTAAAGGCATTGACCATACCTCATGCCCCTATTAGCCAGCCAGTTGTTTTGGACTAAAAACCCACTCTCCACAATGTCTCTGAGTCTTGTCATGCCTACTATCATTACCTAGTTCAGTCTTCCAGTTGCCATGGGTCCTGAGGGGCTCTTAACTTCTAGTTCCTTCCTATTTCAGTTTATCCATGTGGAACTGTCACTGTCCTTTGAAGTAAATTCCAGTCCTGTAATGTCCTTGCTGAGAAGCTTCAATGCCTCTCTGTTGCCAAGCGAAGTAAATGCACAGCTCTCCATCTGGCATTCAGATTCCGTGTTACAGTCCTGTTCACTTTTCCACCCTAGGCTGGACTCTACGTGTATCCTGTTGTCCAGCCAAGCAGAATTTTGTGATTTCCCGAACACATCTTGTATTTTTTTCACTTCCATACCTTGCTCAGGCTGCTCCTTAGACCAGAACATTGAGTTTATTTACCTCCCCCACAGGGTCCGTTAAAGTCCTGCCCATGTTCTTAGATCTTCTCAATCATCACCTCCTCCATGGAACATTTCCTGACCGCCACTGCCTGCCTCCACAATGGCACCACACTTTTTCCCTGTGTTTATGCCTCCTTTGTCATATTGCCTCCCTGGACTCTAAACTCTTTAAGGCCTGGGCCTCTTTTCCATCAGTTGAGGGCTGGTGAGCCACAGCCCCTCTGGCCAGGCTGGCCCTAGCCAGGCCCCTGCCCAAGCTCAACCACAGTCTCCATTGACAGGTCTGGCTGGAGAGGCAGAAAGCTGTGACACTATGTGCATGTTAAGGCGGTGGGCTTTCACAGTCATTTCTTATTGCTGTGCCTTGTGGCTAGCCAGGAGGATACTTTCCTTTATGGTCGCCTGTTCATGTTTCTGAGAGGTGGAGCCCTGTTTCATAAGAGCGGTTTATCAACTGAATCCTGGAGGTGGAATATGACTTTGATCTTCTGTGACCTATGTGACCTAATATAGTCCTGTTGGCGTCTCCAGCCTCCCCTCCCCTGCCTTTACCCCACAGCGTGCCTGGCAGCAAACATGGTCTCTTGGAATATTTGGATAGCCTGGGATCTACAAGGGCTGGGATAAAGTGAAACTTGGCTAAAGGACCTAGGGAAAGGGTGAGGGGAACTGAAAATTAAAATAATACTACTTAAAATTATGAATGAGTAAGGATATTACATTCGGATAAATTGGATCAAATACGTTTTTTAAAAGCAATAAGCAAGTTAAATATATTGGTATATGTGATTTTATTTACCACCAAATTTGATATCTTAACAGAATGGAAAATTTTTATTTTAGATGCTTAAAATATTTTTAAAACAATGAGAAAAATTGTATAACTAACAGGTATAGATTTTAAAGAAAAAAATTCTTGCCTTGAAAAAAAATCCGTATCAGTCTTCTCAAAAAAGAGACCTTCCAGATCTCTTAGGCTGATTTTGTGTCAGGATTTAAGTAATAGAACGTAATAGTAAACATGGTTTAATTTAGCCTTACTCATGTTTTCTCGAGTCACTGAGATAATCCTATAATAAATATTGTGCTCCTGGAGAGTTTTTTTCTTTAGTCCTTTGATAAATAGATGGTCCTGAGTATGCTAAGACAGCCAGCTCTCAGGAGAAGATATGTATTTGATTTTGGTAGAGAGAGCTGTCTTATCCTCTAGGGACTTGAGATGTTCGTTTTACTAGTCTGGGAGCAGGGCCAAAAGGGTTCTTCATGACTTAGAATGGAATTCTGAAAAGTAAGTTCAGCAAGTTTTCATTAGTGAGTTTGGCCTTTTGTCTTGCCTGTGCCTCCCAAAAGATCAAGAGCTCAGCCTTTGCTTTGAAATATTACAAAAAAGAACCAGAACAGAATTTAGTTGGGGGAGAAAATCAATCAGCCCCAAAATATCATATTTTTGGAAACATTCTGGTGTAGAACTCCCACCTCCCTAGCCACTTAAGTTAGTGATATCTCAGTGTTTTTATCTAGCTTCCTTTTTAGGCAGAAAATACACATTTAGAAAGAAGATGTATATAAATCTGTGATAATTCAAATCTCACTGGTACATGTTTCTTAAACTTGTTTGACCCTTAAGTTCTGTCTTAAATTTATTTTGAGTCTTGGGGAAGTTCTATGCCTTATTTCTCTTAAATGCTATACTCCTCTCTACAGCATAATAATTAGTCTAAAGCTATAAGATATACTATATCTTAATTTAAAAAATCAGGCCTAGCACCTTTCTGCAAAACATCTCAAGGGTTTTGTGCAGATTTTTTTTCTGCCGTGAAGATGAGAAATTCATGATTTCCAGTTTAACACTATTTCTTAACAGCAAAGCTTTTCACACCGATCATTACTGTTTTATGCAGTTGCTGTTCATTTATATTTATTCACAAGTAGGAAAACATTCCTCAGTGGAAGGTCTGAGATGCAAAGTGCTAGTTAACAAAAACATTGAGCAAAGAAATCAGAAAGTAGATGGGAAAATGCCCCCAGGATGTCCCAGAACTGATGGAAGATATCAACCCTCAGATTGAGAAAGTCCGGTGAATCTCAAACAGGCCAAATAAAAAGAAATTGACACCTAGACATATCGTAAGGAAACTGTACAACACCAGAGATTAACAGTAACCAAAGTTGACACAGTATGTTTAAAGGAATAGCAGATTGACACAGACCTCTTTGAAAATCTAATGAGAGCCATAGACTTCACCCTAGAAAAATATATATGCATAAAAAGTTTAAATATAGTTTGGAGAGTAACGCACCTTCCCCTAAAGCAATTCCTAAACCTCATTTAAGGATCTATATTCTATAGTTCAGTTCTGCATTTTTAATGTCTTCTATATTGTCTCATGCTAGAATAGTCATTATATCTTCATATGTAATATTTAAAGTGTGAATTATCATCTAACACTTCCTGTCTTCCTGTCCCCCAAATCTATACTTCTCCCATGTTCTTTATTTTCATTAATGGCTTTACCCTCCTTCTAATGACCCTAGCCATGAAACCCAGGCATCCTATTTTTGACCTCTTGCTATTGCTTCCCATATCTAATCAATTGCCAGTTCATTTTGCTTGTGTGTCGTCTCTCATGTTCATCTCCTCACCCTTGCCCCAGCCTGTTTCAAGCCTCTAAGTATCTTATTCTTTGCTAGATTAATCTCAATAAAACAGAGCTTGATCCCTGTCACTTCCTTGGTACAACAGCCTTTATGCCTCTTTACAGGACAGACCATGCAGGAAAACTGCATATGACATTGTTCTCTCTGAGAAGCCTCAGTGCCCACCACACTCACAGCCTGCTGTGGACCATGTGCCCCAGATACCCAAGCCATAGGTAGTGGGACCAGGGATAGGTACTCCTGGGAATTATTCTTAATTTGGAGGAAGTGTAACTATGTTTAAACATTTTTTTTCAGCTGGGCGCAATGGCTCACGTCTATAATCCCAGCACTCTAGGAGTCCGAGGCAGGGGGATCACTAGCTGGGAGGCTGAGGCAGGAGAATCGCTTGAACGGAGAGGTGGAGGTTGCAGTAAGCCAAGAACGCACCATTGCACTCCAGCCTGGGCGACAAGAGTGAAACTCCGTCTCAAAAAAAAAAAAAAAAAAAAAAAAGAAAAAGAAAAAAAAGAGGTGGAGACCATCCTGGCCAACATGGTGAAACCCTGCCTCTACTAAAAATGCAAAGATTAGCTGGGTTTGGTGGCATGCGCTTCTAGTCCCAGCTGCTTGGGAGGCTGAGGCAGGAGAATTGCTTGAACCTGGGAGATGGAGGTTGCAGTGAGCTTAGATTGCACCACTGCACTCCAGCCTGGTGACAGAGTGAGACTCCATCTCAAAAAAAATGAGTAAATAAAAAATAAAAAAAATTTATTCAACACCTCTTAGTGTTTTGTTGCAGGAGGACTCTAGGTTATCCAGTTAGCCATATTGCTAGATGTCTTTCTGTATTGTGTCTTGATGATTCCAGTTTTCTACAAGGATTGACTGGGATTGCAGATGTGCTCTGAATGACATACTAGAGATATTCTAGCTGTGTAGCTGTTGAAATGCTTTCCTGTTTGTCTTCACTTCTTGTGGTTTTATATTAAACTTCTATCCTTTGTGATGACTTATCTGAGCTACTAGCATCTCTAAACAGGACTGGTAACTGGTCTCCCTGCATCTCCTTTTTCCCCACTTCAGTCTAGTTGCCACATTACAGACAGAGTAGTCTTCTGAAAACACAAATCTGATCTATCATTCTCTTGCTTAAAAACAGAGTTTATTACTTTTCCTTGTAATAAACAGAGTTTATTACTTTTCCTCGTAAATGATCACTCATCAGCTTTATCCAACTCAATGCTTTTCCTGCATCTCTCAGGCATATTTCTTTTTTTTCTACCTATATCTCTTCCATCTTCAAGTTCTAGCATTTATTTCTTTGTACTATCTTGAAGTCTGAACTCTAAGTCTCTAATTCCTCCTATCCTGTTGTTTCAGTGACTTTCCCCTTCAATCCTTTATGTCAGACACTTGATGGAAGTAGAAACCAATGTATAAAAAAGGTAGCTTAAGGTTATAAAACAGATGGTCATCAACACTGTGAGACCATTATTCCAATATCTTCCAAGTATGAGGACCTTTTATTAATGTCAAAACCTTTTATATGGGCATAGGAGAAGCGCTTGACTACAAAGAGGCAGGACAAGGCAATTTTTTTAGAATGGTGGAATTATTCTCTGTTGTCACGGTGAATATACAACTCTACATATTTGTCAAAACCCATAGAACTGTATATCACAAAGAGTAAATTTTACTATGGGTAAAAAATAAATTTCAAAAGCATTTCATAGATCCCTAGGGATAGAAGTAATACTTTTAGCATTTCATATTAATAAATGAATTCAAAATGCCTTTTAAATATACTTGTATTTTTTAATCACAACAGTATAAGTATATATTTGAAAGACAAATACATATATACATGTATATATGCACATATTGTATATGTGCTGTAAGTATATGTGCATACATACACACCTAACACGTGTGTATAAAAGATATATGTAGCTATGTGTGTGTATATATACATATGTATACATATGCATTGTCTTAGCTTGTCCTGCCATAGCAAAATACCATAGACTGGATGGCTTAAATGGTAGAAGTTTATTTCTCACAATGTGGTTGCTAAAACATTCCAGATCAAGGTGCTAATAAATTTGGTGTCTGGTGATGACCCTTTTCCTAGCTTGCAAATGGCCACCTTCTTGCTGTATCCTCACACAGTAGAGTGGAAGCCCTCATATCTCTTCTTTTTCTTGTAAAAGTACTTATTCCATCATGGGGACTCTACCCTCATGACCTTATCTAAACCAAATTACCTTCCAAAGGCCCCACCTCCTAATACTATTGCATTGGGGGTTAGGGCTTCAACATGTGGATTTTGGGGGCATAAATATTCGGTTCATAACATACACATATATGTATATGTGTGTATATATCACACACATACACACACACAGAGCATTTATTCAGTCTTCAAATAATGCTTGGTGTGTGATCATTTAGTAAACTTGTTCTAGCAACCCTAAACCCCCATGATGCCATGAGGCCAACAGATTGGGAACATTTGTTATAAAGGATATATAATGGATGATCATTTTTGCAAGAATTCTGTTGTTCATATTTATTGATATTTGCCTAAATAAGAACACACTTTTAACTTTTTTCTTGCTCTCGATAGCTAACATAATTCTGATGTTAGGAAGCAGTTTTTACCCCTATTACTGCAGAATGAGAGATTCATGAAGACCTCTCCTACTCTGATGCCTCCCCACCCAACACAAACACCTAGGTTTCCTAATTTATTTCATGATGGGGACAGAAGAATTCCAGAAGGAGCAAGGCTCTAGGGTATTAAAACCAGCACTTCAGAGCTTTCCTCTTGTGTTAGGACCATGACCTCATTAAGCTCATGTTGTTCACAGCACTGGTCCTTCCAGGGCCCCTAGCTCTCAGATTTTCCATGATTTTCTCATATCAGTATGTTTCCATCTAGACAATGATCAATGATTGGTTTGTTATATTAATAAAGCATCATTTACTTAGTTTTCAGGGCAGAATATCAATGTGGATGGGGGGTATGTCAGGTGGATTTTAAAAATAAAGTTGTTCTACTTCATCTTTGCTGTAGAAGGTATGTTATGTCCACAGCATGGTTTTAAAAGGTAATTATTTAGTATCTAAAGTAATGGTATGGTTCTTGATTACAAGTTTGGTGTAAGTAGGCAGTGACTAAGGCTCTTAAATGTGTAAAATTCATATATGAAGTGGAGCTCTGTACACTGTTGTTGGAGGAACGGTCTAACATCAATGTTTTCAGATTTTCCTGTGTGAAGTTTTATTAAAGAGCATATAATTTGATCCTGGTATGTCTGATTTTGAGTCCTGTAATAGAGGGATTAATGATCATATTGGAGTTTTTCTAGACTTGTTAAAATTCAGACACGCTGTCTTTCATTAGCAACACTAATGACTTAATGAATGGGGAAGCCTTTAGTTTAAAACAAAACAAATGATGGGTTAACATAATATTGCAAATAGGACCATAACAGGGAATGAACCTCCTGTCTGTGAACATTCTCTTTTATAGACAGCTTCAACAAAATAGAGGTCATTTTTGAAAAAGCCTGAAATCTACCTTGGCAAATTTCAGCTGAGCCAAACCATTAATTTGAAGAAGTTATATGTATCAGTGGAAAATGTACTTTACTGACAACCTTTTTTTCCCTGCATGCAAAGAATTTTCCCTCCCACTTTTTAATCCCTCCTCTCCCTACTCCACCCTAATCTTTAAAAAGTATGATGTCAGATTGGGTTTCTTTGTGCCAAGTTTTTATCCTGGAACAGATTTTTATAGCCATGTTTCTCTGAGAAAAGGAGTTTATGACCAAATGGTGATAACACTTCCATGTTTTCATTTCCTCCTCTGACCTAGTACTTTTTTCCTAACTTTAACTTTGTCAGAGTTTAGCACAACCAATTTAATGTGTTTTAAAGCTAAAGGAAATTATTTTGAGAGCTTTTAAGGATTCATTAACTATAATATCATCATATATTATTCCTTGAAAAAAACAGATTATGGAGCATGATATTTTAAAATTTTAGATTTTTGTGTTCATTCAATATGAAAACCCTTCAGAATATTTGTGTGTAGATAGATATTTTGGTGATTGGTCTTTGTTATTTCCACCCTGGTAGAGTTGTTCACCAGAGATTGTTCATTTACTTTTTTCAAACTCTTTCTTAAAAGTGTAGATTAACTTGGCCCTGTAATTTAATGTTAAGGGTGAAAATGGTGGAAACAACTGAAATGATCATCAGTAGGGAAACAACCTAATTGTCCACTGACAGATTATTGGATAAAGAAATATATATATATATATAAAACAATGGACTAGTATTCAGCCTTCATAAAGGCAACGTGGATGAACCTGGAAGACATTATGCTAAGTGAAATAAGCCAAGCATAGAAAGAAAAATACTGCCTGATCTCACTTATATGTGGAATCTAAACAAAATGTCAAATACACAGAAACAGAGAGTACAACAGTGGTTACCAGGGGTGGGGAAGAGGTAGGAAAATAGGGAGAAGTAGGTCAAAGAATACAAACTTGCAGTTTGTGTAGGATGAATAAATCTAGAGATCAGATATACAGCATGAGGACTATAATTAATAATGTTATATTGTATACTGAAAATTTGCTAAGAGAGTAGATTTTATGTGCTTTTAACACACACACAAGTAACTATGGAAAGTGATGAACATATTATTTGTTTTACTATAGTAATCATTTTACTATGTGTATGTATATCAAAAACATCATGTTGTATACCTTAAATATATACAATTGAAAAAATGAAAAAACCTAAACATCAAAACCATATTAACTATTTCTATAGGAAAATATATGTATGTGGATACTGATGCTGGATACTACTAGTGGCTAATACCAATGAACACTCATGCCACATGTGTTAAGCGCTCTATACCTGTTAGCTCATTCAGTTCTCACAACAACCCTATGAGGTTCGTTGCCACTGTTGCCCCCATTTTATGGTGACAAAACAGAGAAAGGATCAGAAACTTACCTGAGTTCTGAAGTTCATTCAGAAATAGAACTTCATCTCTACCCTCAACAGCCTCTTTACCTTCTATCCTGACCCACCTGCCCCTCCCATCATGATAAAGTCTTTAGTGAAATGCAAAGGCACACACTGGTTAAGACCACTGCTTTGCGGTAACATTTGGGTTTGAGCCCTGGTTGCCGCTTTGTAGTCGTGTGAACTACTGGACGTTACATAATTTCTGTATAACTCAGTTTCTTTGTCTAGAACCCTCATAGAATCTTTGCCAGGATTAGATGAGAGAATGTGTTTAAGTGTTTAGCATAGTGCCAGGCACATTGTAAATACCTGATGTATTATAAGTTGCTGTTCTTGCTGTTACTGTCATCATCATCAACATCAACATCTTCTTCTGAATCCTTCTTTCAAAATGTTCAGGGACCCCAATTTTTGAAATTCCCTCTAGATACTGTGCACAGGGACCTTAGGTAATACCAGTCACCTGAATTCATTTAGGATAAACTAGTGAGGAAAATGTAGAAGCAGACATCTGAAGTGAGGGACTAAATATTTCTCTCAGGGGTCAGCTCTAGACTTTGCTTGAGTCACAACCCCACTTCAAACTTGAGAATCTCATGATAGCTGTAACCATCCACAACTCCCTCTACCCCCAGATAATCTTGCATATTCTTCAGAACATGCATGGACTTGCTTGTATATAAGCCCAAATGCTTTAGGGATCCACTGACTCTGAATTAAGGCTCCTTCTCTAAAGTTTTTATTGAGATAGCAGTGAGATGTCCACCGGCCATGGCAGTGATACGCTGGCCAGGGACAAGAATCACAGACAAGAGCAATCCAGAAGCCACGACACTGAAGACACTGTGCTGAACCTGTTACAAACACTATTTTATTCAGTGTGCACAATAGACCTTTGGGTCTGAAGACACATGGAGATATTAAGGCACACAGATGTTAAGTAACTGTCAGAGGTCAACAATGAGTATGTGGCAATAACAGGATTCAAACCCAGATCTGTTAGCTTCCAAAGTCCTTGGTCTTACATGCTACCCACTAGTTCCTTGGAGGGGGCTCCGGACCATGGAGGTCACACACCAGTGCTCCGAGTGTGGTCCTCACAGCACCTGCATCAACATGAGGTTGGGATTTGATTAAAAGTGGATTTCTGGGGCCACCCACATTCTGAATCTAAAGTTCTGGGTGTGGTTTTAGGAACCTGTGCTTTTAACAAGTACCCTTAGTGATTTATATACTTACTAAACACTTGAGAATCACTGATCTTTCCAGTGTGGTGTGACTTATAGACAGTGTTGGACAGAAATGAAACAAAGGAGAAAGATGAAGCACAGACAGAAAGAGCTGGGAGGATGCCCTGCATGTTCTTATATCTGTAAATACGCATCTCTTCTCCTTTGTCTCAGCCCTTGCTGTTTAAATCTAGACCCTTACATTTTTCAGCTATTTGGCTCCAGCCTCCCCTTGCCTGACTCCTGGCTTTGTATATTACCTCTCTTTCCTGACTTTCACTGCCTTTTACAAGTTGCGTTTTCTGCTCATTTTTAGAGATACCTACTAAGGGCCAAAGGAAAATACACTGTAGCAGAAACCTAAAATTAATTGTCACCCTGGGTTTAAGGCATTCTGTCATTCTTTCCCTTTCCTTCACTACTTTTTGCCTCAGCCTATTCTTTTATTTATTTGTTAGTAGTTTTATTGAGCTATAATTCCTGTACAGCTCACCCATTTAAAGTGTACAGTTCAGTGGTTTTCAGTATATTTGCAGAGTTGTGCAGCCATCACCACAATCAATTTTAGAACACTTTCCTCACCCCAGAAAAGATATCCCACACCCTTTGCAGTTACTCCCAGTTTTCCCCAACCCTCCAGCCTTTGACAATTATTAATTTACTTTCTGTCTCTATGGATTTGCCTGTTCTGGACATTTTATGTAAGTGGAATCATACAATATGTGGTCTTTTGTGACTGACTTCTTTTTTTTAGCATAATGTTTTCAAGGTTCATCCATGTTTTAGCATGTATCAATACTTCATTCATTTTCATTGTGGAATAATACTCCAGTATATCAATATACCACATTTGATTTATCCATTCATTAGGTAGTAGACATTTGGATTGTTACCACTTTTTGCCTATTGTGAATAATGTTGCTGTGAATATTCATGTTAATAAGTTTTTGTGTAAACACATATTTTCAAATCCCTTAGGAGAAATGCCAATTCAGACCTTTTGCCCATTTTTAAGTTGCTTTATTTTTCTTGTTATTGAGTTGTAAGAGTTCTTTATATATTCTGGACACTAGACTTTTATTAGATACATAATTTGCAAATATTTTCTCCCATTCTGTGTGTTGTCTTTTCATTTTCTTGATGATATTCTTTGAAGTCAGCAGACTATTCTTAAGCTCACTTGTTGAAGTTCCTCTTGGCTAGAATTCTTGTCTACTTCCTACCCTCATCATATTTTAAAGTTTTTCCATGTGCATATTAGCATTTCCTACATTAGATCATTTATGTCCCCGATAGCAGATCCAAATTGCCATTTCATAGTCTCATTGCATTTAAAAATACAAATTATCAGCCTAAAATAATTGGCACAGGATTCATATCCAAAATAAAGAACTCTTTAAAATTAAGAAAATGGCAAAAAATCTGATAGACAGTGAGCAAAAAACCATGAACATGAATCACAGACAAGGAAACATGAGTGGTGAATAAAATATGAAAGGATGTACCATCAGTGGGGCCACTGTAGAATGTTGAGTGGCTGCAACTATTGAGTGACTCTGGATGTTGCCCAGTCTCTTGGATCTTGAGGCTGAACTGGGCTTTTGGTCAGAACTGGAGGCCTAGGGGATTTTCAGCCCCCTAGCAAATCCATTCTGATCCTGACTTGGATTTTAATCTCTAGAACTCTCATGTATAAAATTTTCAGCCATTTCTAGGAATTTTAAGAAAAGCTAATATGGGACTTTTCAGTTCAGTTCAGATTTAAAAGTGTTCAGGACCCCCGAAGGGAGTACTGAAACTAAGGAAGTTTTCTGAATAACCTAAACCTGAAATTGGACTAGGAGCAGAAGAGAGTAGGGTCTGGAGGATCTGCCCATCGCAGACCTAAAATTCCGTAGTCTTTTTGGAGATCTGAAATGAGTGATTTTTGCACTTAATGACTTCCCTCTACATAATCACTAACTACTGGCATGTAAGACAGAAAATCTAAGTTAGTTGCAGAGTGAAAAGCAGGCCTACGTAGTCCCTGACCTTGGGCCACAGGATTCTGAACTCGAAGGTTACAGTAGGTGCCATGACAGGTTTACTCTCCCAAGCCCAAGAATGGAGCCTCTGTTCACACTGTGCTGTCCTGTCTTAGAAAGTCAAGTTGCTTCCTTCTTCATTTTGACAAATCATTCTTAATGTTCTTTTACATCATTTGCTTAAGTTCACATCTTTGTGATAGAACTCTCATTAAACAGATTAAGAACTTTTAAAAACATTATTTAGATTTTTTTTCCTCCCCTTAATTTTTTGTTTTAAAGAAGAAAGGACAAGTAGCAAGAAATACATTAAAAAGTTATAATTTTTCCCTTTAGGAAAATCTTTTTTTTTTTTTGGAGACGGAGTCTCACTCTGTCCCCCAGGCTGGAATGCAGTGGCACGATCTTGGCTCACTGCAAGCTCTGCCTCCCAGGTTCATGCCATTCTCCTGCCTCAGCCTCCCGAGTAGCTGGGACTACAGGCGCCCGCCACCACGCCCGGCTAATTTTTTGTATTTTTAATAGAGACGGGGTTTCACTGTGTTAGCCAGGATGGTCTCGATCTCCTGACCTCGTGATCCACCCGTCTCGGCCTCCCAAAGTGCTGGGATAACAGGCGTGAGCCACTGCGCCCGGCCTCCCTTTAGGAAATTATTTTAGTAATAGGACACATGTCTCAACGTGGATGTTGTACTCATTTTGTTTTGTGATATGGTCCAGTGCATTCTTGGACATCTGGCATCCATGGTCCTTGCCTGCTGGATGAATGACCCCTTAGTGATTGAGACCACTTAATATACCTCCCTACATTTCATACACCCCCTAATGGGATATTATCACTCCAACTGAAAAGGAAGGTAATACCTTCTTTTCCTTTGAGTTCCAAATTGTAGACTGAACACCTTGTTCAAGGTTGAGAATCTTATTTCAGTTCTTAGAAGAGATTTCTAGGAATGCCAGAAATACTTTACTCTTATTCTGTGGTTGTCAGGTCCATTACTTTCAGATCAAGATCTCATCTCTTGGAATACTGTGTACCGCAGAAACAGTATCGCATTGCTCAGTCTGGCACACTTTAGGTTTGGCTCTCCCACTCCCTGGCCCCTTCCCTGATGTGATGCCCTTTGAATGGGCTCCTCAGAGGCATGTGCTTTGGTGCCACAATAAGGTAACCAGGACTGTTTATTAAGCTTATGCATTTTTTCAAGTGCAGGCAGCCCCCCACTAATAAGTTGCATTCCAAATTGTATGTGTAGGTTGGTTATTTGGACTCTGGAACGTGTTTTGCCATGGAAACCATTTAGTACATAGTTGGGTTACCAAGGAAACTGGATGTACTGAAGGAGTCCATCAAGCCATAGTGCCTGCTACATGCAGAACCACATTTTGGGGGACAGAACCCAATCCTTTTTCTTTCTTTTTTTGTAGCTGTCAGTTGGGCAGCTCGCCTTGTTGGAGGATGGGCCAGGAGCTAGCAGTGATCTAGCTGCAGCAGATTGGACCTGCTCAGTTCACCCAGTACAAGTCCATATACCAGGAGGGCCCAAAAGTCAAGTCAGATCTCTCTGTAACAGACATGCAGGGCAAACAAGAGCTGTACTGTCACTCACTTCTGGATCGTTACCTGGAACAGCACTAAGCAACTTTTCCTCCTTGCTTATGAAACCCAGTCCACATCCCAGAGCCAGGAGAGCTGGAGCCAGAGTGAGCACAGTGCACACAAAGTGCTTGCCTTTGTTCCTCGTGTTCTCAAATATCCTTGCAATAAATGATCATCTCTCCAAGTAGTCTGTGTGGACCCAGTATCACGCAGGAAAAGCCGACCAGCTCAAACTGGGTGTGGGGCTTGTCCACAAAAGCTTATGGCCCCATGATCTAGGTTCCTTATTAATAGCAATGCATTTTCCTGTTATAGAATATGTCACTCATCACAGTAAAGAGAGAATGCTAAGCCCATTGTACTATTCCAAAGACAAGGAATGGAAATGGTAACAGCATTATTACTGTAGTGTTTTTATTGTATTTTAAAAAAATTAAGCCGAGTATAACTTAAATGTTTCTTGTGCCTGTTTATAACCAGTGCTGCCCTGTTCCCTTGGTATAATGGATGGTAGTCTACACACTGAGTACTGGGTACGAAGACTCAGCTCCTTGGTGTTACTTCCTTGGAACCTTCACCTGGTGTCCTAATCAGAGTGATGGCCTTCATTCCCCCGTCTTGTTGTCACCCTTTGGGGCTTCCTTAGTTTAGTCCTTTGTTTCCTATCTTTGTATATTTGCACAATCACAGTAGTTTAACTTTACATTTATATTGTGCTTTCTACTTTACAAGGCACATTCTCTTTGCAAGCTAGATAGGGCCGGCATTGTCATCTCTGTTTTCCAGAGTTAAAATGAATACTCAGGCATTTTAAAGGACTTGCCAAACTTTCACATCCACTGGCAGCAGATCTGGAGGTAGAACACAGGGTTTCCAGGGCCCGGTTTTCCTGCGCTCTTTCCACCGTATCACTCCACACGCCTGTACAGTTGCCACTTCCTTTAGCTCTGCTTATTTCTTGATGGGTGGTTGTTAGCTGTCTTGGGATTTTACTCAGTGCTGAACATCTCTAGTAGGGTAGTAGCCTTCCTTCTCTGGCTGCTTTAGTCAGTGTCCCTGGCACTTTGGCCCTAGCATGTACCTCTCGCTTCAGCAAATTGGCATCTTGGGACAAGCTCCTGCCATAGTGTATTTATTAGTGAATTGGTACCTTTGCATATTTTATACATTGAATTAATGCCTCCAGGTATTCATCTTGATGGTTAAAATCATATTTTGTTTTACATAGTATCTTTTCATCAGAAGTATATATTATCTTCCATTATATAGGGGAGACTAACTGGTTAAATTACTTGTCTCGAATCTTAACCATAACAGCAGAAGAGAGAAGGAAACTAATTTCTATGAGGAGCTCATGCAAACCAGACACTGTACTAGGTGCTTTGCATATAGAATCTCATTTCATCCTTGCAAAAACCTTGTGGAGTAGGCGATGTTTTACATTTTACAAGTGAAGACACTCTAGTTCAGACAAGCTAAGTCTGTCTGTAGTTCAGACAAGCTACCCTGCAAGTGAAAAGTAGAGGGAATATTACAATCTAGCCTTCTCTGATTCCAAGTCTCATGTTCTATCTGCTGTCCCACATGGCTTCCTCTTGCCCTTTGCAGGGTATCTTACAGTAATAAAGAAAAGAATGCCTTGGATACATGGCAATACAGAGGGGAGGGGGAAAAAGCTGGAGTACTGCCATCTCCTTTTCCTGACAACAGCCAGAAAAGAGAGAACTCACTCCCTTGTCTTTCCTCTAAAGATCATGGAACTGTTGACACATGTTCTGATAGAAGTTTGAACTTGTAACTAAGTGGAACTAAGGTAAACTAAATGGGGCAATCTGTAAGTATTTTAGTGGCTCTTGAAGGAGGACCAGTTCGTAGACATCACCCTCTCCTGAGCAGTTAGAAAGCTGCTTGGAAAGAGCTGTGCTTCTCTCTTGGAAAGACCGTGAGACTAGGGAAGAGCGCCAGCCAGTGAAGTCAGGACTTCTGTGTTCTGGCGCTGGTTTCTACCTCTCACTCTAGCCAGGTGACCCGAGGCTGGTAAGTCACTTCACTTCTCTGGATTCCTCCACTTGTAAAACATGAGAAGTGAACTGGATGGTCCTCCCAGCAACTGCAGTTTCATTCTTTATCTTTAAAGAAATGTATTTTTTAAAAAAAACAATGTGAGAATGATGAAAAGCTTCTCGCTACTCAATGTCCTTGCCAATGATAGTTTGATAGGGAACCTAAAGTTAATAGCTCCCACAGCTCTGACTCTTTAAGGAAATTAAGAGGCCAGAAGGCAGCGTTCTAATCAGATTTGTGGGTAAGATGGTTATCGATAGTAGTTAATGATGGATGAAGTGCACTGAGGCTCTTAAAAGATACTTAGGATTTTTGACTTTACTCTGTAGGTTCTAAAGTAAACATATATGAGGTTTTTAATTTCTCAGATACTATACCTGCAGCTCTTTTTGCTGACTCAAGATGATTTTTGGTACCTGTTTTATGCCTACATGCTCCAGCCAGACCAGCTCCTCTTGAGGCATTGAATACCTAGGAAAAAAGAACAAAGGAGGCTGGATGTGGTGGCTTATGCTTGTAATCCCAGCACTTTGGGAGGCCAAGGCAGGTGGATCACCCGAGGTCAGGAGTTCGAGAGCAGCCTGACCAACATGCAACCCCATCTCTACTAAAAATACAAAAAATTAGCCAGGTGTGGTGGCAAGCACCTGTAATCCCAGCTGTCCAGAAGACTGAGGCAGAAGAATCGCTTGAAACCCACCAGGAGGCAGAAGTTGCAGTGAGCCGAGATCGCGCCATTGCACTCCAGCCTTGGCGACAAGAGCAAAACTCCATCTCAAAAAAAAGAAAAGAAAAGAAAAGAAAAAAGCATCCCTTCCCTCTCTACAGTGAAGTTTTTCTACAGTAATTCTTCAATAGTGAGTTAAAACTAATTACTAATACAAGCATGAGAATAACAATAAATTAGAGCAAGATAGTTGGAAATGCTTTGATAACATTTGGTCCCTTTCTTAAAATTAAAACTTTTAGCATTTGCTACCTATCTACCTCTGGATTTCCCTAAATAGAAAATTCAATTCAAATCTTTTCTTGGAGAGAAGAGTTTCCAGGTCTTTCTTGAGATATCCAACCCCTTTTGGTAGTCTTCACACACAGATTTTCCCCCACTGTTCGTGGGCACTGACACCTCACCAGAGAGTGGGCAGGTTTGCATGGGGTGACAACTGGATTATTTACATGGCACTGTGAATAAGTGATAAGCCTAGTTCTGCAGGGGGCTGTTTTTATTTCAAAGGATGATTTAAATCTACCATGTTAGAATATGTAAGAATAAACTCAGGTGGAGATGCTTTCCTGAGGCCTTTAAGCTATAACATTCTGTCTATAGCACCCCTTTTCTATCCCCCAAAGAGCCACATCTGAAATTTAGCAATCCATTTCTTCAAGATTTCAAACTTGCCTTAAACAATTGAG
This sequence comes from Homo sapiens, assembly GCF_000001405.40. NCBI lineage: Eukaryota > Metazoa > Chordata > Mammalia > Primates > Hominidae > Homo > Homo sapiens. The sequence continues at coordinate 28,152,212 of NC_000002.12, forward strand.
AATGAAGAGCCATGTGCCTCTAAGAGCTTTGACCACAGCCCCTCTGCCCTGGGCCTCCCAGAATTTCCACACCAGATCAACAGGGCTGTGGAGTTTTCAGGGCCACTGCTATCCTCTGGCAGCTTCTCAGCTCTTGCTGGTGGCCTCAGTACCAGCTTTGATTTCTCTCTAGGTCAACCCTTTCCCAGGGAAGAGTTCCCTCAACTTCAAGGGATCTTTCTCCTCCTCCAAGTCTAACCTCCGCCTTTTTTGGGTTTGGCGCAGGGAGGGGAAATTGCAGGAGCTGATAACGGGAAGGAGGAGCTGGGAGTCTTCCTCGGTTTTACTGTGAAGGTGTCTTGGGTAAGTGGCTGGGGAGACAGGAATGGGCACAGGGGATGAACTGGAGAGAGCTCAGGATGAATGACACTGCTCACCCATTCTGAAATCATGCTACTCCACCAACAGAAATACTGGTATTTTGGTTATAAAAATAGTACAATACCTGAATACCAAAGCCAATGTTGTAGTCACTGGGAAATTTCTCCTGCTGAGTTAAGGAAGGGAAGACTTCACAGAAGAGGTGTGATTTGAGCTGAGTCTTAAAGGATGGTCATCGGCTACTAGGCATTGAGCCCTAAGTACAGATCCAGTTCATTTCGCTGGTGATTATACCAGGAGTTTTATAGGAAGTTTATATGCTTTTTCTTGCCAGTGGTTCAGTCTTTAATTTAGTTGGGGGCTGGGGTTGGGTAGATAGTTCTTCTGTTGTTCTGCAAAGCCATCCTCTTCATTTAGCTATATCTCTTGTATCCCTATTTGTCTTTGTAATAAAACCCTGTGGTAATCACTTGAGCAGTTTTATGTGTTATTCTTAGTGAGTAACACTTTGATACATTAACACCTCATAGCATTTCACTTGGAGTTGTTTTTTTTCTCCCCCATGACTTTAGCATTTAAGAATGCAAAGACGTATTAGGATTTCAGATCCTGTTCCTTGGATGTTCCTCCTTACAGAAGCTTATTCATAAATGGCTTATTTTTGCTTATGTATTTTACTTAATAGGCCTTAAATTGGTCCACTGTTTGCCACATCTGTTTTCTAAGCTGCTAGTTGGTGTATTTGAAAATACAAAATGTATAACAACCACTTTTGCTATCTAAAGTCTTTTCTTCTGCCTTACTTTGTTCATATACATATAGATTTCTTGACATTGCATTTTTGAAACATTTTCTCAATTCAACTTGTCTTTGGTCAAAACTTTGGAACTAGTAGTCCAAATCTTAGCCTCTTAAGTTGCTGCTTTATAGAAACTGTGGTAAAAATTAATACATTACACTTGGTATTGCTGTCTTTGAGACCTCTAAATTTTTGTTGAATGTGTTGAATCAGAATTTTGCTATTTTATTAGCAGGCTTCCTGGAACCCCAAAGCAGTGCTTCTCAAGAATGTTGTCAGTGGACCACCTGCATCAGCCTTGGGAACTTGTTAACAGTGTAGACTCCTTGAACCCATGCCAGACCTACCAAATCAGAATTTTAGGGGCTCAGAAATCTGCATTTTCACCAGCTTCATAGGTAGTTGAACACACACTAAACTTTAGGAATATCTGTCTTGAAGTTGGTTAAGTACTGATTTATTTAGGAGTTACTACCTAATTTTCTCCGGGACATGCACGATTGAGTTTTTGGTTTTTCTGTGGTCTATCTTGATTTGAATTCTGTAAAGAATACCCTTAGGGGAAAGAGTAGGGTCATATTTTTCTTAGTATTCAGCAGAGTTGCACAGAAAGTTGGACTCCAGCAATATTATCAAAGCCCAAGTCACTGTGCCTGCTTCTGCCTATTGTGTGTGGCTCTTTGGAGTTACACAAGGACAATAGACTGACATGTGATGCTTGGAAATCACCTTCCTGGGTCGTAGATCACTACTGAGTACATTAGACATTAGCATATAGCTCACCTAAGCTCTGGAGCCTTATAATAATAGTAATTAACATAATGATACTTTGTACTTCTCAAGTGTCTTAAAACTGAAGGCCTTAAAGTGCCATATTAAACAAAATAGGCAACACCTTGGCAAGAGAGGTCAGTTTTAAGTTCCTCATTTTATGAATTCAAAACCTGAAGCTGAATATGGAAGTTTAGCTTAGAGACTTCTTTTGGATAATGACACATTCAACTTGGAGAAACACGAATATTTCAAAGGAAACATTTCTGATTTTAGGGGAACAGGGGAGTGGTGGTGGTAAGGTGGTTGCTATTTTGGCATTGCAGGGTATATCCTGAGTGAAAACAGCCACATTTGGTTACTTTAATTAATGCCTTTAATAAGTAGAGGTGTTAGGCTGGAAAGCATTATTTTTCTTACATTTCTGTGTATGAAATCTTATATTCCTTCTGGTGCCTTCATTTGCCTTTCCTTTCCTTGCCCTTCTTTATGTATTTTTTTAAATCATTCATAGACTCAGAGAATGTTCAAAACAGCAGCAACAACAGCAAACTTCTAGCTAGAAGAGTCGTTAAAAATCATATAATCAGGTCCTTTTGTTTCACAGGACAAGATACTTGAGAATAGAAAAGGTTAAATAAAAGATTTCTTCAAAATGGCTCAGAAAATGTGGCTATGGGAGATATGTCAACAGTGTAACTATTAACAGAGTTTGTATATTTGTGTTCTTTTTGTCTTTTCTTAAGTAAACAAGTATATGAATACACTTTATAGTTGAGAATCAGTCTTTCACAGACCCTGTTTTGTATCTCCGTGCTATTCCTACCTTTTAAATTTTATTCCATTTGCTTTATCTGTATTCTTCCTGTATCTCTCTTCTCTCTCTTTTGCTTCTGTAAACTAATACCTTTGCAACCTAAGTAACTTAACATTACAGAAAAATAAAATTGAAGTTTTAAAAAATCTTGAAGGTCGGCACCTCAGAAAAGGCAGGCTAAATTAAAAGATAAAGAAAAAAGTACTTGGAGACTTCTGGAATATTTGAGTTCTTTTTAAAAACTACCTCAACAGCTGTAGAAGTAGATAGTTCTTTATTATCACAATCTTTACCCTCCGTTTGCTCAGCTGCAAGTATATGTTTAACTAGCACAACTCAAATGGATGATTTATGGTGGCTTTTGCCTTACAAATAAAATGAAGAACAGTTAGTTCTTAAGGTACCAGGTTAAGAATTTGGAGAGAAAAGGATAGGGAATTTATTCATTTATTCATAAATAATTGATCGATAGAGAGGGGTCATCTCCTTATGGAGTACACCGTATTTTAATGCAAGCAGATGAGAATCCTGATGACTTATACAATACTGTTCTTCATCTTCATACTAAGGTGACTGAGCTAAAAGTGCTGAGGTAATAAATGTAAAAGTGCTTAGGAAAAATGGAAAAGCCTTGTGTTAATGATTTCTTATTCAAAACAGCTCAGTTCTATAACTATTTATTGGGAATCTAAAAACAAATATTTGTGTGCTGAGGGCCAGGTGCTGGAGATAATGAGCTATAAAGAGAAAAGGAGAGACAGTGAGAAAAAACAGCATTTTCTTTCCTTCTGGGAAGAAAAGTAGAAGGATGGAAACCCTGTACCACACAGTTCCCCATACCAACCACCAGATGGGGTTATCAGCCACAGGCAGCTCAGTTGCTGGTCCAGAGGGCTTCCTTTTGGATTCTAGGAGGTGGAAATTAGTAGGAAGTGTGAAATTAGTTGTTGCATACACGGATAATTCATAACATGAGGTACTTACATTTTAGGAAAAATATTTACCTCTATTCACTAGATCACCTCCTCTGTGTGAGAAGAAAAGTAGAGTAATTTGATTAGATTTGTTAATAAAATTATGGTAGTTATTAGTAATGCTTCTTTTTCCAATACTTGCAAATTTATTTTTGGGGTAAGAACAGGTATATTTTTCCGATTTTGTTTGCCCAGAGTTAAGAGAGTTAGTGTGGGAAGGTTATTTTGTTTTTCTGTGCTTGTAATTTTGTCTTCCTAGTTAATTTCTACTCCTCCCACAAGATTTGTCGCAAATGTCACCTCCTCTCTGAAGCATTTCTTAGCACCCTTCTACCAGACAGTTATGAATGCCCCTTTTTGTATTTCTACATGGCTGTCTGTGCTCAATAATAATTGTTATGATATGAATTTAAATTAATTGTCTGCCTTTCTCTGCTACTAATTGGGAGATTCTTGAGACCATGTATTATTTATATATTATTTATATTTCTATACCCACTGCTGACTACAAAGCTTGGCAGGTATTAGTCACAGAATAAGCAAGTTATAAATATTTGTAAATTACAGTTTTTCATAGTCTATTTAAAGAATACTAAGTTATTAATAGTTCCTGAGCAGTTGTCCCCAGCATTATAAATAAGCTATCAGGAGTTATCCTACAAAATAATTAATTTTAGAAGACTTTTAGAAAGGAATATTTACCTTAAGAGAGAAAGGATTATAGAATTAATTGCAAAGAGCATAAAAGGCTTATCTTATTTTACAGTAGGGTCTACTCTCAATGAAGCAGACATATGGAATTTTAAGGCTTATTTGGAATTCTGATTTTGTGACTTATTTACATTTTTAATTGGTTGAATTGAAAAAAAATTGCCTTTTTCCTTAAATGAATATACGTAGTCTAGGGACATCTTTGAGGAGAAGGCCAAGTTTGATTCTGTATTACAAATTTTTAAATGGAACTTAATGGGAAAATATGATTCACCATTCAATTTAATTGATAGAAATCTCTTTCACAGCCAACTTTTCTTTAAAGTGAATTACATATTTCTCTTTAGAAAACAAATGTATTGGTCTATAATTTTTAGACTTCTGTGAGAATGAAAATAGGATGCTCTTTTATTTACAGAAAACTGTAAGACTTTTTTCCTTATGAAAATAATTTCCCAGTTATTTACCTGTGTGTGGAAAATTTCTGTGTCTCTAATCTTGACTGGGAAAGCTTTTCCTGGGCAATTTAGAAAACTAAAGAAAAGTATCATTATCTTCAACAAACATTTATCAAGTGCCTACTATATGAAGGTCAGATTACCAGTCCTGGAAAAACCTCAGTTATCCAAAGGTGAGACTCCTAGCAACACCCTGGAAAAGGACCTTGATCCCTAAACTTAAAGAAAGGAAGTCTGAAGAGCCAAACACCCCATTTTTAAAATGCAGTCAGCCATTTTGTTTTATACTGCCTTGGCAAACTTAGTTAGCTTATTTTTACACTCCTAGCATATATGAGACAACAGATTCAAGGTAGACAGGCTGCTATGGATAAACAAGCTTTGATAGCAGCAAAAATAGACAGCTACAACAAAGTCAAATACAAAATACATTAACTGATAATCCTCAATGATGGCTACATATCATCAATCAAGTTTGGACCCAAATGTATTAACCCTGTTCAGCAAATTATTATTACTTTTTTGAGATGGAGTCTCTCTCTGTCACCAGGCTGGAGTGGAGTGCAATGGCGCGATCTCGGCTCACTGCAACCTCCAACTCCTTGGTTCAAGCTATTCTTTTGCCTCAGCCTCCTGAGTAGCTGGGATTACAGGCATGCGCCACCATGCCCAGCTAATTTTTATATTTTTAGTAGAGAGGGGTTTCACCATGTTGGCCAGGATGGTCTCAACCTCCTGACCTCGTGATCTGCCAGCCTCGGCCTCCCAAAGTCCTGGGATTACAGGCATGAGCTACCGTGCCCAGCCAACAAATTATTTAAGGACCTGATCTGTGGGGTCAGGCAGGCCTGGGTTCTAATCTCTGATATCCCACCTACTAATGATATAATCATGAGTAGTTATCCAAGCATGCAAGCTGAGCTTTTCTTCTATGTGTCAGAAATAACATGAAAACTATTTAAAAAACTGGAATGATATTGATCACAAATATAATAAAAAGTTAACAGCATTTCTATTTAAATTGATCAGAAGACTTAAAATCTCAATAGGTAAAAGAGCAATGTTGTTCAGTTTACAGAAGAAGAAATGAAACAACTAATGAACATAGAACAATGTTCACCCTCACCTAATAATAAAAAAACTCAAAAATAAAAACAACAAAATGTTTATATCAGGTTTAAATCAGCAAGATAGTAAAACTGTACCAATAAACTCTAAATGAAGAGGGCTACATAGGGAGAAAAGACAGATCCAAAGGGAAAACAAAAATGACCACTTGAATAACTACATCAACACAAGAAAGTTAAAAAGTACTGAAATACACACTGTTGTAGTAATAAGGTAGCTCCTCAGTTTATGCCTCATGGCGGCCCTAAAACTACCAGCAGCAAAAGTGGTTTCAGAGTGGGACTATCTGCCACCATGCTAAATCTCAGTACCAGTATGAGCTCCTTGGAATGTTCATCTGTTAGGATTGGCAATATCCATGCTTGAATTTGTATTCTCCATTTCTTGGACCATTCTGCTGTTTGTCTCTTTCATTGTTTGGAAGTCAAATTCCTTCTTTCAGCATTATAATAAGGCTATGTAATATAGCTTGAGACTTCTACTACACTTGTTAATCTTACTTATCTAATGCAGCTTTTGCCTGCATTATTGTTAATTATTGCGTGATTTACACTTTGAATTTTTACACAGGAATTGTGGGAGGTTTTCTAAATTGAAAAGAGATTTTAAGTTGGCAGAGTAGGAAATTTTTGTTCATTCTCATTAATGCCTTTGCCCTTTCTTTCTCTGTCTGAAGTTATCGCCAGTGGTTTAAGCTGTCTGGCGGCCTTGATTCTGCTTTAATGCATGTCTGGAAATTTTACTGGTATGAAAAGCATTTTTTGGAACTTTAACATCATCAACAAGTTCTCTTTTCACTTAAATGGCTAAAGGATAAAACATTTTATCTCAAATTCCTGCATTCTGAGGGAATTCACTTATTTCAATTTCAGGAGTTTCTGTTTGTTTCTAAAGAACTAGTGTAATATGTCATTATTCATTCATTCAACCAACAACATTTATTTGAGTGCCTATGACATGTCAGACAGTCTACTGACACTTTTTAAGTCAGGATGGGAGGTTATGGAATAAGATTGAAGATGTCCGACACTCAAGAAGAGTAGAGTCTACTGGCAGAGTCAGGCACAGAAGTAACTAACTTGGACAGCATGATGAATTTTGTAATAGAGGTGTGCACGTAGAACCATAGCAGCCCAGTGGAAAGAGCTGTGAGCTCTGTCTGCTATGGAGTCCAAGAAGGACTCAAAGAAAGGGTGACATCTGAATAAGACATTGAAGAAAGAATACAAGTTTTCCAGGAGGTAAAGGAGAGAATGGTCATTCCAGACAGAAGGGACATGTGAACTAGGCATGAATGCAAGAGGGTGCCTGGCATTTTTAGGGCACTGTGAGTAGACCAATATGGATGTTTCTAAAATCGCCAGAATTGGCCGGATGCAGTGGCTCACACCTGCAATGCCAGCACTTTGGGAGGCCAAGGTGGGTGGATCAGCTGAGGTCAGGAGTTCGAGACCAGCCTGGCCAACATGGCAAAACCCCATCTCTACTAAAAATACAAAAATTAGCTGGGCGTGGTGGCAAGCACCTGTAATCCCAGCGACTCAGGAGGCTAAGGCAGGAGAATTGCTTGAATCAGGAGGCAGAGGTTGTGAGTCGAGATTGCACCACTATACTCCAGCCTGGGCGACAGAGCAAAACTCCATCCCCGCCGGGAAAAAAAAAAAAAAATTGCCAGAATTTAGTTAGGTAAAAGGTAATAATCTGGAAGGGTTTTACATCCTGAAAGAAACCCAGAAAATGATTGGGTTTTTGTTTGTTTGTTTGTTTGAAGAGAAAGAGTCTAATTCTGTCACCCAGGCTAGAGTGCAATGGGCCAATCATAGCTCACTGTAACCACAAACTCCTGGGCTCAAGTGATCCTCCTCCATGAGCCTTCCAAGTAGCTGGGACTACAGGTATGCACCACCATGCCCAGCTAAGTATTTTTATTTTTGTAGAGTTGGGGCCTCACTAAGTTGCTCAGGCCAGTCTTGAACTCCTGGCCTCAGGGGATCCTCCCACCTCAGTCTGCCAAAAACCTGGGATTCCAGGACTAGCCACTGCGCCTGGCCATGATTGGTTTTTAGTATATTCTTTTTAGCTGGGCCCGTGCATGGAGCTTAGTGTATGGTTATGTGATAGCTAATCCTCCTCGGGCTCCTCAGACACCTATCCAGGTATGTATTAATTTATCTTATCATACATTGTGTTGAGAACATTTTCTTCTGTTCAGTCAGCCACAGCATTAGGCTACAGAGGCAGTAATTTAAGGGAGCCCCCAGAAGTGCACGTATGCACAGTCACCACCCACACATTCACATACTTGTGCAATGCACACGATCACACAAATATGGCTTTTTTTGTATTATCTCTCATTATTCCTAATAAAAAGTTGAACCCATGGGCGGTACTTCCTAAATATTTAATGTTTTTTTTTTTAGCACTAGCATCTAGCATGTGCAAATACTGCATACACATGGATCCAGAAAACTAAATTAAATGAACATAGAAAGGAACATATAAATTGTTTTTTTTTTTTTTTTTTAAATAAAGAGTAGGTAGGTGGGATGAAATAGTGAGTGTGGGCAAATGGGCAAAGGATGCAGTCTGGTAGGTGTTAGAGACAATGGATTCCTGGGAGAGTGTGGAAAGTACAGAAATTTGTAATCTGTATAAGAGTTGTCAGAAAGTACATGGAAGATTTCTACTATCTATGCTTTTAAAAAATATTTAGAATCATTTATTCAAATTTTCTGGAGACTACCGCAGAGTTAAACCATGAGGCGAGGTTCTCTGTGAATTTATTAATGATTAATCATGATGGTCCCAAGTTTCCCAATTGTGCAGAGCCAGCTTTCCAACAGATTCCCTTTACAGGAAAGATGCATAACTGGGAAATTGCATAAACCAGCCAGACGTCTTCAGGGAATTATGGGTAGGCAGTTTTCTTTTTAAGTGGCTTATAAAGCATTTGAAGAATGCCATTGTGGAGCAGAGAGCACATGCCCAACCATTGCCTTTTTTTGGGAAGTTGGCACATTCTTGTTTTGAGTTGCTTGTACCAACGGGCTTCACTGTGTCTCCTAGGGTTCCTGGGGGGCTCCAGGAGTCTAGGTGCTGGGGTCAACCAGTGACTCACTCAGAGCTTGAGCCAGTTTCCAGTCAGATGACTCCAGGGAATGGGAATGGGGATGGGAGCAAGAGTTGGGTTGGGGGTAGGTAGAAAGTAGAAATTAGAGATAGGCCTTCAAGGAAATTCCAGTTTGCTTTCCCCATTTTCAGAGTCTCTGGTTTGGCTCAAACTCCCAAAGTGTCTCAAAGACCCTTCTTCCTTTTATTCTGGAGCTACTTAGAACCCAAACTCTTCCCCTTTTCAAGCAAGGGTTAGCCAGAACTGTCTATCAGACCTGTCCAGCATCTTACCCTGAAACCCCTTGGGCAATGCTGAGGCCCTGCATTCCTAATACAAAAGGGAGCGCAAATGGGTGGGTGTGTCCTTTTTGGCTCTTGTTCCCCTCCACTTTGCTCTTTTGCGGTCAAAAAGTCTTGCACAGCAGTTACTTAATGCCAAGCTGGCCCAGCTGCAGCTAATTTAATCACTCATCTGTTGAGTGAGGTACTATTTTCATTTTGCACTTGGGGTAAACTGAGGGCAGAGATCTTTAATTATTTTATTTAGCACCAGAAATGGACTCTGATAGATATAGGATGAAACATTTGGACACTCTTTTGTTTGCTTTCCATTTGAAACATGATTCACTATATTATATACTGCTTCCTGTGCCCTAAATTAGTATAAATTTAAATTTTAGCTACTGCAACCTTCTCTTCAAACTAACTACTAATTCCTAGAATAAATACTAGTGATTTCAAATGAAACCTTTTCAATTAATGAGCAAGTGGCAAGGAGTTGTAATTGTTTAAATAAAAATTATTTAGAAACTTGAAATACCGTATTTTGTCTTTTTAAAAATACCAGTGGGTGTTTAGGCCCACGTAAAGAGAGTACATTGCTAGGCCCTGCAGCGCATACCTCACACCGGGACAGTAAAGACAAAGGGCACCTGAAATGTACATGGCTCTCTTCAGGATGCTTTGAGAAACCAGAACTTAAGTAACGGTTAAAGTAGAGACTCCAAAGTCAGACAGACCTGGATGTGAATCCAGCCTCCAATACTAAGTAGCTGGGTATTCTCTTAGCCTCCTTTTTGTCACCTTTTACCCAGGCATGAGGATAGTATCCACTTCACAGTTTTGAGGATTAATTGAATTAAAACATGTGTAATGAGACTACTGTCTGGCATACACTACTCTATGGAGTCAGTGCCCAGCGAATGATAGCTCTTCCTAGCTCAGCCAACCCTGCACCGGGCTTCTTCCTAAGTGCTGTTATGCACATAATCTCATTTCATTTCCCTACCAACCAGCCAGGTAATGCTCTTCCTCGCACACTAGAGCAGTGTTAGTTGAACATTTGAATTTTTAAGCATCTTGACTGAATATGACACTGCATTGGTGACATTTTGATAGCTGTCACTGCATGGTTTAGTTCCAGCATCTTTCAGCACATTCAGAAGCATCAACCTTTACATGTTGGGGCTTCTCCAACAGCAATTATAGCCACAAGTGGAGAAAAGCTATACATGTTCTCATAAAATATCATCGAGATTTGTGTCATAGGCCTCTAGTGACAAAGACATGTTTAACTGCTAGATGTCAGTTTTTTTCCCCCTTTCAGATAAAATTAAACTGTGGAGTTACCATTTAATCCACAAGTGTAAGAATAAATTGGTTTTTTAGTCCCAATTCTGTAGAAAATCAAAACTAGTACCAAATATTTTTATTTATAAACATTTTTATTGTGGGTGTAGGCATATCTGTGTGTAGACAGATAGAATGAGGTGCCCCCCGAAAAAAGACGGTGGTGTCATCTTTTGTGGCCAGCCTAGTGAAATCCTCACTCTCCTCAGATGCCTCCCAGCCGGCAGCCACCCTGCTTCCCCCATGACCTTCTTCTGAGTGTGAAGCTCTGGGTGCCAGCGCTTCTTCCAGCCAAGTCAGCAGGTGGGCCAGGATCAGCTTGAGAATTAGTTTTCTTAACAGCCCCAACTGGCCACTCTCAGAATAATTCTGTTAAATGTGACCTCTTGTGTTATGTGGAGTAAGTCAGTAGCTGGCTATCAGGGAGACTTTAGAGACCCAGAGAGCTTTATGCCTAAGGGGAGAAAAAGAACATTTTTCTTGTCTTGAGGCAGGTCACAGAAAATGTACACATGGTGCTGGGGACAAAGGTCTAGGAGAAAAGCAAAAGGCAGTCACCCCTGCCAGATATCTAATAGAATGCCAGAGTTAGACATGAATGCCATAAGAATAATGAAAAACTGAGAGCCATGGGCCTTAGGAAGAGAAAATGGAGTAAATCGGATGATAGAGCAAGAGAAGTTGTGAACCCAGCCAGAAAGAAAGGTAAGGGTGAGGCAATCTGTCCCCATCTTAACACAATGTACTCCTAAGGGTGAGACTTGTGTAAGATCGGCTGGGCTGATGGAGCTGGGTCAGAGGCCTCAGAATTGGACTCACGTGGCCCAAGGCTCTAAGGTAATGTGATCTATCGTCATGGAGATGAGAATTGAGGCCATCCACCCCTTGTGGGTGTTTTCCTCAGGGCACTGCCCATTGCACATTGCTAGATCATTTCCATCTGGCTTCATCTCTAGGCCCACTGCTATGCACCTCTTAGAAACTATCAGGTGGTACTGAAAACTGAAGATGAATTTTCTCATGGAGTTCTCTTCTTAGAAACTCCTAGACTCAGTGACTGATTGCAAAAGGCACATCTGGCACAAGAAAACAGACTCCTACAACTTGTTGCACTTAACATCTTGATACCAAGGATCATAGGGATGGAAAGACAGTGCTAATCCCCATAAACGTGTGGTGTCTGGTCACTTCTGTGCATTCCGTGCAGTCAATAAAATACAGTGTTGATGGAACCCAGTGCAGGTGGAGTAGAGCAGTTCCACATGTGCAATTGGTATTTGCTCTTCTTCCCTTCAGTGTGTTTTTTGTTGTGTCAAACACAACCGAATGAGAGTTGCCCCTACACCCCCACGTGGAGTTAGAGGAGTGCGTCCTGGCCTGGAATAGGTCTCTCTTTCTGGGCCACTCTGTGGGCTGTCTGAGCAGTGGAAGCATAAATATAAACCTCGGGCACATAAGGACACACACAGGCCGCAGAGCCTGTCAAGGGCTCTGTCATGTTCCGAGTGAACAGATGTTTATCCCACAACATTTTTTTTTTCCTTCTTGGAGTTTGTCCAATGCATTAAAAAAAAAACTAAACTGTTTACACTAATTATTCCCTTTTGCTGCCTTTGCTTGTTTTGTTTTGCTCTTTTCTTTTTCCCATACATTAAGAGCTATTCGTGTGAGGAAATTCTGCCCAGCTGCTTTCTGGAACAGATACTTCCATAGCTTAAACCAGGAACCCTTTGTTCTTGGATCTGAGTGGAGCTCAGATTGCCTTGTCACATGTATCTTGGCGCTTCTTCCCTGAAGTTTATAGGCTTTTAAAAATCCATTTCCTTTTTACCCCAAAGATAATCAGCTTCCATAACTTTTCTTAAAGTAAATAACTCCAGATCCCTTCATGGTTTCAGATTTTCCCGTATGCTTCAGTCAGGATTTTATTCAGCAATCATTTATTAAGTACATTCTTAAGTTTGGTGAGTACCATACCACTGTACTAGGTATCAAAAGAGAAACCCTTTCCCCTTTTATTGGTTTGTTCATGTTTTCACTTATTTTTTCATTTCCTTCATTCAAGAAATATTTGTTTAGCTCCTACTGTGTCCCAGGTACGGTTCTGGGTGCAGAGGAATCAGTGATAAGCAAAAACAGACATCGTCTTTGCCTTCAAGGAATTGCCAGTGTACTGCGGGAGAAAGACGTAAAGAATTAATTGCAATTCAGGGTGATACATACTATAATAGTAGGGTGTTCAAGTTTCTTTGAGGAATGTGAAGGGTGTAATTGGCTCTGCCTCAGGCATCAAAAATAACTTTACAGATTACTGGACATGTGAGAGGATTCTACAGAGAGAGGACAGCACATACAGAGGTGAGGAGGTATAAAGTATGGTTGGTTCGGGGAGCTTGATATCTGAATGCAAAAACAGCAGATGCAAGAGGTGAAGCTGGAAAACTAAGTTGGGTAGCCAAGTTGTTAAGGTCATTTTGCATGCCAAGTTTAAAAATCTGGAGTATGTCTTAGAGAAAATGGTGGGGGAAGGGGCACTGAAGCTTTTTTTTTTTTTCCTTGCTTTTTTTTTTTTTTTTTTTTTTTGAGACAGAGCCTTGCTCTGTCACCCAGGCTGGAGTGCAGTGGTATGATATTGTGTCACTGCAACCTCCGCTTCCTGGGTTCAAGGGATTCTCCTGCCTCAGCCTCCTGAGTAGCTGGGATTACAGGCATGTGCCACCACACCCAGTTAATTTTTGTATCTTTAGTAGAGATGGGGTTTCACCATGTTGGCCAGGATGGTCTTGAACTCCTGGCCTCAAAGTGATCCACCCACCTCAGCCTCCCATAATGCTGTGATTACAGGCATGAGCCGCTGTGCCCGGCTACACTGAAGGCTTTTAAGCAGAGAAAATGCTTTGGAAGTAAATTGTGTTTGCTCAAAATTCATATGTTGAAGCCTTAACCCCCTAGTACCTCAGAATATAACTGTTTTTGGAGATAAGGCCTTTAAGAGGTAATTAGATTAGAATGAGGTCATCAGAATGGGCCCTAACCCAATATGACCAATGTCCTTATAATAAGAGGAAATTAGGACACACATACACACAGAGGGAAGACGCAGGGAGAAGACAACCATCTACAAACCAAGCAGGCCTCAAGAGAATCCAGCCCTGCTGACTCCTTAGACTTCCAGCCTCTACAGTTGTGAGAAAAATCAATTTCTGTGTTGAGGCCACCCAGTCTGTAGTACTTTGTTATGGCAGCCCTAGGAGGTGAATACACCAAGGTTTAAGTTTTGTAAAGATAACTAGAGTCCATGGAGGATGCTGGCTTGGAGAGAAGAGTAACTTGAAGTAGGAGATGCTGCAGTAGGAGAGTAGGAGCTGCAGAGGTCTAGGTCATGATAATAAGGTTGAGTGACCAAAAACTACTCTAGCGAGTTATCCTATCAACCAAAATAGTGAATACCACAGGAAGGACACATTTTGGGGGAGTAGGGGGAGGGGTGGATGCCAAACTAGTAAATCTGGATTTGGACCGCTTCACTTTGGTGTGTGCCCTGGATGGCTGCATCAAAATGAACTTTCTTACCTTCTGGCCTTTGATTGGGTTCAGCAACTAGAGATTTGAGGGTGGAAGGAGAGTAAGGAGGGATATGTCTCTTACCCCTGACGTCCTCCCTTCTTTGCACTGGCGTGACTGTGTTTGAGTCTTCTACCTATGGCCACAACTCCACTGGGAGCCCCGCTCATGACATTACAGTTATCTTTGGTTTGATCCCAGTGATAAGTAATGCCTTTCCTTTGTTGCCAGCCCTAGGGTGCTTCTCTATCTCTTTTTGATTTCTCTTACGCTGTTTACAACCTCATAACGAATGCCTTCATCAGACTTGCTTCCATCTCCCCTTTCAGTGTGCCATCTATTTCATGCCATGACCCTGATGAGTTTTAAATGCCTACTGGACACCCAGGGGGAGATATCCAAGAGACAGTTAGAAATTTAGGATTAGGGACTTGGAAATAGATTGAGACTGGATATAGCTTTAGTGTTAACATGCTGGTGGGTGTGGAAACCATGAGTTGCCGATAATATAGTGTGAAAAGAGAAAAAGGTTCTTGATTGGAATGCTGGAGAAGATAAACTTTTCAGGAATTGACAGTTTTCTGCAGCTAATAGAATCTCACTTATGCATATGTTCTTCATTCTGATTGTGTGACTAATTCCATATGAATCATTCAGACTGAATACTTGCACCGTCACTAGTTATATAGATAGGTACTGAAGTTTGCCTTTGTCTTCAAGAAGGGACTTGGTGACCAATGAATAGTGAAACAATTTCAGAGAAAATATGTAAGTAGCATAATCAAGGAAAACATTTTTAAGCATCCTTAAGGATTTCATAAATGTATTTATTTCTAAATCTTTATTAATAACGGGTTATTTTTAAATGATGCCGTTTGCGCTGGGAGCAGTGGCTCATGCCTGTAATCCCAGCACTTTGGGAGGCCAAGGTGGGAGGATCAGCTGAGGTCAGGAGTTCCAGACCAGCCTGGCCAACATGGTGAAACCCCGTCTCTACCAAAAATACAAAAATTAGCCAGACATTGTGGCGGGTGCCTGTAATTCCAGCTACTAGGGAGTCTGAGGCAGGAGAATCGCTTGAACCCGGGAGGCAGAAGTTGCAGTGAGCCGAGATCACGCCACTACACTCCAGCCTGGGCGACAGAGCGAGACTCCATCTCAAAAAAATAAATAAATAAATAAATAAATAAATAAATAAATAAATAACGCAGTTTGCTAAGTCTGTTTGGTAGGCAACACTTTGATGGCTAAGATTTGGTTACTCTATATATTCTAAAATAGTTAACCTATATTCCCTATAAAATTGAGAGAATCATGATGTTCAGATGCTAAGTGTTTTTCCTGCACTCTCATTTAATCTGTATTTCTACTCCTATAAGGTGAGTACCATTAATATCTTCCTCACTACTGATGAAGAAACAGGCTTAGAGAAGTTAATAATTTTCTCAAGACCACACAGCTAGTAAATGTCAGAGCCAAGTTCTATTTATCTGAATAAGAGAGTTTTCGCTAATACCTGGAAAGACTTTCTTGGACCTTCCTCATCCAAGGGCTTTTTGTTACAGAGGAACTCAAGGAGCCCAGTGGAAAGCACTTCCAACTAAAAGGTGTTCCCGTGGTCTAGACGTAGAAGCTGCCTTTAACAAGGGTCCACCAGCACACAGTGGAACCATTTTTATTATAAAGGGCCAGAACTGCCTGTGTCGAATGCATAAAATATATTCTTTCTATTCTTTGGCTAGTATAAAAGTTATAGCCGTTGTCCAAATTGAATAATTCAGCCAGAATCTGATTTTCTTGGAAGGCCCATCTCTCCTAGGCTCACTCACGTAGTATAATCAGAGGACATTTGGCACTTTCAAAAGCCATAGCCTACTTCTTCTGGAGGTCTGTGTGTGACATGGTGTGGCATCATAGGAGCTTGCCCGATCTGCTTTGTATGGGCTGTGATCACTCCTAGTGGCTATGAATTTTTTCCTTTCATTTATGCCAAATTCTCCTCCCTTTTGAAGTTTGAAAGGCGAGGGGCATATAAAAAGGAAGTGGTTATGGCCCAAGGTCCTTTATTACCTTTTTTGTCCAATGCGTTGTTGACAGCAGTTTACTTATCATTCTTAGAGGGCCAAAAGCTTCATTCCGATCAGGTTTCTAATCACTGAAACTTCTATTTTAAATGGATTTGAAGGCCCTGCCTTTAGTTGAAAGTTTTCGAGTCAGACTTGAAAACATCAGGAAGATTAATTAGTGTCTTCACAGTTTTTTTCCCTTCATGTTCCATCTGGGCACAGATCCAGTAACTTACCCAAGGAGCAGGATAGTTAGTCTCACCCCTGCTCCCCAATTAATTAATTCAACCCAACTTCCAGAAAGATAACAACACTGTAGGTGAGGGCTGAGTCCTGCTACTTATTCCCTCATTGGCCACCTGTAGCCTCTTCTCCTGTGATCAGCTTCTCAGCAAGCTGATGAAAGACTTAGCTTAGCTCCAGTATGTGTTATCCCACTACTCATGTTAAAGACTTGGTTAACTGTGTTCTATTATGGGCTTATTTAAAACTTTACCTCCAAACTCCAGTAAGGATTGTGGGTCAGTTTGTAAAAGAGCTCTTCTGAACCACACCATGGAGATTTATTTCAAGCTGTGGTAACAGAGTAATCCTGAAACATACTACTTTAATTATTGTGAATGTCTTTGGTTAAGAGGAAAAAAATCACTTTTATTTTTAAAGATATTTTTATTTTACTCTAAGTAGTGCCAATATTGGTGGCAATGTTTAGCTATTCTGGAAGATAATTTAACAATATGTGTTAAAAACCTTTAATACTTTCATACCTGTTGCTCTAGGATTTCAGTATATTATTGTAATTCTAACCTGAGTGGAGTGTTTTTACCTGACAAGCATTTATTCCCCAATTTTTATGTTCTTTGTGACCTCTTAAAAGAGACAATATAAATATCCAGGCCAGGTGGGGTGGCTTACACCTGTAATCCCAGTACTTTGGGCAGCCAAGCTGGGAGGATCACTTGACCCCAGGAGTTCGAGACCAGCCTGGGCAACATAACAAGGCTTATCTGTACTAAAACAAACAAACAAAAACAATAGCTAGGCGTAGTAGGGCGTGCCTGTAGTCCCTGGGAGGCTGAGGCAGGAGGATCACTTGAGTCCAAGAGGTCAAGGCTGCTATGAGCTGTGATTGTACCAATGTACACCAGCTTGGGCAACAAAGCAAGACTCTGTCTCAAAAAAAAAAAAAAAAATCCAGTAATAAGGGATTAGATATTACAGTGTAGCAGCATAACAGAATCCTGTTAGTCATTGAAAAAAAAAGCAAAAACAAAAACCATAGCCTGGGATCATATTTATAATACAGGGCATTCCAAAAGTCCCAGTATAGTTTTAAGCTTTAATAACTTCAGAAATATAAATGCTTTAAACTTTCAAAAAACATTTATTTGAAAGTTTATTTAAGTTTCTTTAAGATTTATTTCCGTTTGTGAATTTCAGACAATAAATTTTTAATTTTTTTGTTTTAGTTAACATTTGTCAGAGATTAACAGAAAAAATTAAAATTAAAATTTGAAATTTTATAAATAACGTGTTTTATAATCTTAATTACAAACAAAAGATAAGTGAGGGTGATAATTTATTAAAACAGACTTTAAAAACAATATATACAGCTTGATTCTGATTATATAAATAATATATACATGCATGTGCTGGAAATTAAAAAGGAAATCTGTATATCAAAATTAATAGTGGTTTTCTCTGGAGTGGTGTGATTATGTATTGTTTTAATTTTTCTCTTTGCTTTGTCTACTTTTCAAGTTTTCTGCAATGAATGTCTACTAATTTCTATTTAGAAAAATGTCATTTAAATACTTTAAAGAATAGAGCCAATATTTTGACTTACTCTGAGTCAAAGTATCACAATTAGTGTATATAAAAAGCTAGGAATATTAACTTCATCTACCAATTGCCATTAAAGTAATTAATTTAGCTATTAATACTGAAAATAAAGAAAAATTAAATATAAGAAATATTTCCTCCTAAAATAGCTAAAAGCTATGCTCCATATCTTTATGTTTGATTGATAGTATCACATTTTTAAGAAGTTATTTTTAGATGTTTATGAACTATAAGAGAATCATATAAAAGGAATAGCTGTAAAGGGGGATTAGAGGGCTTTTTGTTGTTATTATTTTGTATTTTGTCATTCTAAGAGATTAAACAAAGATTCATGAATAGAAGCTAGAATGGAAAAGAATTTAACTTTGCAAGAAATTAATTTCTCCCTTACATCTTATAACGTTTTTTAAAGTAGAGAAAAATCAAATAGGATAAAAGGACTACAGATTCTTAAAAAATATGTTTAAGTAAAGAACACGGTATAAAAGGATATATGCTTCAGAGTACATTTCCTCCAACCCGAGTCCCCTCGTCTTCCAGTTCCCCTTCACAGAGGCAGTCAGTTATGTATGCGTGTCCTTCTATGAATATACAAAGGTATGTGAACATATCCTTTCTGTCATTTGGATGGTAGCATGCTGTACATACTACGTTGCAGTCTGCTTTTTAAAATATATATATATATATATCTTGGAGATTGTACCATATCAGTCCATATAGATTCACTAGTTGGTTATAACAGTTGTTTAATCATCCTTACTGATGGATCTGAGTTTACTTTCTGTCTTACTACAATTAATGATGAATATCTTTGTACATACATTGAAGACTACTGTTCTAATAGTCGTGTCTGTCAAATGATGAAAGATGATGATGGGTTTCTCACATCCTGATAATACCTGATAGCTTTCAAAGCACTTCCTATATGTTTTTTGTTTTGGAATGATCTACTTTCAGGAATGGTTAGCGACCCACTACTGGAGGTGGTCAACCACTGCGTGCATTTACAAGGTTGCTATGAAGAGAGGATCAGTCCCTGAATGGTGCCTTCTGGCTAGGGAGTGGAGGGGACGGGCTGTCCTTTCCTACTTTCCTGTCTAGTAGATCTTCCCGTAATAAAGGCATTTTTTAAGCAGCCTGTTTTCTTACTATCTTGAAGACATGGGAAAGGAGGGAAATCCATTGTGTTCTGATTGTTTTCCATGTTTAGTGCTTTATGCCTGTTTTTAATTGGACTTTTGTGGTTGAGATTTTCATTTACCCCTTTCTTGGAGTACCTTCCAACTCTATATTAATTAATAAATTATGTCATGGATATGTGGGCTGGCTCTCCTAGGTATGTGTAGCACCTGGAACATTTTTAGTGATTGTTAAGAGGTATGTCAGTGAAGTTTATAGATTGAAACCTTTTGTTCTTCGATTTTAAAATTAATTTCATTTTCTTCCCCTCAGCTTAGAAGCAATGGCTACTCAATTTCTTTGTATGTATAATTTTAGAACAAAGGACTTTCTTAATATGTTATATGCTATTCAGAGTTTACTTCAGGGATGTGATTAAAAGGGAATGGAAGCCAAAGGAACTCAGGAAATGGAACCCTGCTAAACATTACCTGTGTCTTCTGTGTTTTGTTTTGTTTTGTTTGAAATGTGTGTGTGTGTGTGTGTGTGTGTGTGGTGTGTGTGTATAATCCAGCATACTATCCTTAATAGAATTGATCATTCCTTTTTTTCTGGATCTGTAGCATCATCAGATGTGTGCATTCATTTAGGACTTCGAAGAACATCATCTGCAATAATATACGTAGTTTTGTCCTCCCTATCTTTAATTGTTCCATATTCACTGTGTTAATTTTTCTCATCAAAACAACAAGGACAGGTTCTTAGGAGAGTATGGAGGATCTCCTCTGAAGGGTTACAGAGCAGGGAAGATGCATGTGTGTTTCATGGCTCCCTACCCACCCCGTGTGGCCCTAGTACATCCCATCCTGCGTGTATCTACTTTCTTGTCTGATTTCTGTGGCTTCTTCAGACAAGAAGCACACTACACAGTGACTGGGTCAGAAGTCCAGGGCTGCAGGACTCTGCCCAGGCATGTCTGTTTTCCCCAAAGTATCCTAGAACTGCACTTTCTATCAACTTATGTTTCCCTGTGAAGAAAACCTTGTCTCAGCGAGGTGTGGCTGTTCTCAGAGTACTGTGTGTATATGCACGTGGGTGGGTGTGGGTGTGCATATATGTGTAATGGGGACGAACGAGTATTCCTGTACCTTCTTGTTGAGTAGAAGAAAAACATCAAGTTCAAAGTATCACCAGCAGAGCATTCCAAATATGCTTTCCGGGAGTTTACAATTTAAAGCAGCCTTAAAAATCTATAACCTTGTGTATTAGTCAGCTCAGGCTGCCATAACAAAGTGCCATAGACTGAGTGACTTAAACAATAGAAATGTATTTCTCACAGTTCCAGAGGCTAAGAAATCCAAAATCACTGTGCCAGCCTGGTTGGTTTCTGGTGCAGCCTCTCTTCCTGGCTTGCAGATGGCAGCCTTCTCGCCGTGTCCTCTTATGGCAGAGAAAGTTTGTGAACTGTCTGGTTTCCGGTCTTATAAAGACACTAATCCCATTGAACCAGGGCCCTACCCTCATAACATTATCTAATGTTAATTACATCCCAGAGATACTATCTCTAAATATTATCACACTGAGGATTAGGATTTTAACATTTGAATTTTGGGGTGACACAAACATTCATTTCATAACACCTCCCTTGAGTTAGCCTTGTGGGGGTTGCCCTGGTACAGGTTACCATTTACTTCTGATAAGACTCTAATTTACTTTTGGCAAAAACTGACTAACCACATATAAATAAGTGATTTTATTTACCTTTTCCCCCATTTGGTGCATACAATTTACCATGTAGTCCAAGCCTTTAGGCCTCACAAGACTTCAGCTCAGGACCAGGTAGGCTGCCAGTTCGTCCCCCATATCCAAACAGCCCCGGGAGAGAGAAGGGAGAGAATTTTTAAAATGACAATCCTGGGATGTCCTACGGTTTAGAGCACTGGGAGGTGTACTTGTAGTCATTAAAAAGCAACTGCAGTGACCCAGCATAGTGCTAGTAATCTGGCTCCCAGGCCGTTGAGCGCAGCAGGGAGCAAGACTTCAGGATCACACTGCGTGTGGCTTTAATGTGCACAGACTGACTTCATGCTGGGACCACAGCATCCCTAATCTTTCCTTGCTGTTTTTAGACTTTTAATTCAGCTTAGGTCTAGATGTTGGATTGACATGATATTGTCCTTTCTGTTTGATTTATCAATTCGTCGTTTGATAGTATACTGTCAAGAAATCAGTGACAGCTTTGTATTGCCAGTGAAAAGTCCTGATAGCTTAAAGCATTCAATAGTACAGGTTGGTACATGACCTTTGAGTTTTCAAACCTTGGATATAATCCATGAGAAAACAAAAAATAAAGACAAGATTGATAAATAGGATTTATAAGGGTTGACAGAATTAGGAGGATGAAGGGCAAGATAAAGATTAACCATACATTCCCTAAATATACAGGTATTCAGGTGAAAAACAACAAAAAAAAAGTTATTGAGGGATGAGATCCCTTGCTTTTGATTAGAATGGTACCTTCCAGCCAATTCAAATAAAATCGCTCAAGCTAGTTTATCTGTCTGTGAAGCACATTTCTCTGAATAGTTTTAATTTTCCTCTTAGTCTTCATAACAAAATCATAAATGTAGCTTTCTGTAGGACTGTGTTCTAAACCTTTGGGAAGGCCACTCATTCACTAATTAAACAAAGGTGATATAGCAATGAACAGAGCACACAAAAATACCTGTCCTCGTGGAGATTCCATTCTTATGGAGGCAGGCAATATATGTATATATATATAAAAGAAATATGGTGAAAAATAAAGCAAGGCTTCAAGAGGGCTGACTAGACGCATCCGGCACTTGCCTCCTCCACAAAGAGGAACCAAAATAGCAAGTAGATAATCACACTTTGAATAGAGAATCTAGGAGAGAACACTGGGATTCAACAGAAAAGTGGCAGGAAACACCCAAGGCAAGGAAGGAGAGGGAAGCACAGCCGGGATCAGCTAGAAGCCCTGAGAGGCTCCTCAGTGTGGGGAAAGGGGGAGAGATCCCCAGGGGTCCACATTTCCACCACAGAGTCCTGCAATCCCAGCCATGGGAGAGCCTCTTGACCCTCAGAGGCTCTCAGACTAACATGGGGAGCTGCCTTGAGACCATGCTAGGGAATTGGTCCAAGGAGGGAACTCACACTGGGTCCCACATGCATCCCCTGAGTCCTAAGCAGCTGTAGCGTGGTACGATTTTGAGAGCCCAGCCCTCACCAGACAGCATCCTTTCCTAGGGCCTGACAGCACCTGCGTCTCCACATCTCTCAAGCCCCACTGATATCCCACTGTATCTACCTAGAGGGCTACTGTGGTGTGATGCCCCAGCACTACAGCACACAGTATCCTGTATCCCAGGAAACAGGCAGTGCAGTGCACCAGGGAGATCTGCCTCAGGACAAAGGAAGCCAAAATGCATGCTTCCCAGAGCCCAAAACCTATCTGCCTAAAGCTATTGCCACTGACAGCAACCACCATCCCAACTAGCGGCAGAGCTGTAGTGCAATTGCATGTACCCTGAGGACTGGCTCTTCCCACTGCTGCTGTGGCTACTGCCACAGCTGTCACCATTAGGAACCGAAGCTTATGCTCCCCAGAGCCTGAGAGCCACCTACCTGCACCTGCTGCTACTGACAGCAACTCTGTCCACCCCCTGCAGGGCTGCAGAGCACTTGCACACACCCTGAAGACAGGCTTTGCCTGCTTATAACTACCACTGCTGCCACCACCCGAGCACTCCACCTGGGGGCCTGAGGATCACCCCACCTTGTGCACCATAGCCTGCACAGGAGGCCCTGAGTACAAGCCCAACCAGCCTGGCACTGCTACCCCCTCCCAGTACCCAAGCATGCCTTCCAGTGTCTTCGGGATTATCCCACCCTGTCCCCACTGCCAGCATTTGTGCACTCCTGCCAGGGACCTGAAGATGGCCCACCCAGCCTGTTGCCACCATCACAGCCAGCACCCACCTGCATGTTCTACCTGGAGTCCTGGGGATTGGACCACCCAGCTTGTCACAGCCACTGCTAACACAAATGTGTGCCACTGGGGAGCCTCAGGGTTGTCCCACCACTGCCGTGGCCATCATCCATGCTATGCATGCTGCCTAAGAGTGTGAGATTTTGTCCACACTCCAGCCTACCACTGCCACTGCTGGCACCTGAGCAAGCCACGTGGAAACCCAAGAATTGGCCCACTTGGACTCACTAATGCCAATGCACTCATACACTGCCCAGGGGCCCAAGGATAGATACCCTTGGCCCACTGCTGCCAGAGAACTGGCTCACATGGTGTCCCCATCCCCAACAAAACCTCACCACAGCCTCTACTAACAACTGCAGCCTAAGCCACTGAGAAGATCACAAATACCACTGACACTGTTTACGGCTGAAGAAATAATACAGAAACTACACTCCTGCATGCACCCAGAATCAAAGTTAAGGTTTTCTGACCAACTAACACCATACATACATCTTCAGGAAAAAGTCTTCCCTTATGAAAGTCAATCCAAAAAGTTAGAAGTGACTTTTGCACCAAATGTGCAGATATCAACGTAAAGACACATGAAATGTGAAAAAACAAGGAAATATGACACCTCTAAGGGAGTACAATAATTCTCCAGCAACAGATACTAATGGAAAAGAAATTTATGAAATGCCAGAAAAATATAAAAGTAACGATAGTAAAGAAGCTCACTGGCCAGGCACGGTGACTCATGCCTGTAATCCCAGCACTTTGGGAGGGTGCAGTGGGTGGATCACCTGAGGCCAGGAGTTTGAAACCAGCCTGGCCAACATGGCAAAACTTTATCTCTACTAAAAATACAAAAATTAGCTGAGCATGGTGGCGCACACCTGTAGTCCCAGCTACTTGGGAGGCTGAGGCCCAAGAATCACTTGAACCCAGGAGGCAGAGGTTGCAGTGAGCCGAGATTGCACCACTGCACTCCAGCCTGGGCAACACAGTGAGACTCTATCTCAAAAAAAAAAAAAAAAAAAAAAAAAAACCTCACTGAGATATAAGAGAACACAGATAAACCGTACAAAGAAATTGGAAAAACAATTCAGGATGTGAATGTGAAATTTACCAAAGAGATAGATATCCTTAAAAAGAACCAAATGGAAATTCTGAAACTGAAGAATTCAATGAATGAAATAAAATATTTATTCATGAGCTTCAACAGTAGACTAGATCAAGCAGAAGAAAATTCAGAACTTGAAGATAGCTCTTTTGAAATAACCCAGTCAGAACAAAAAAAAAAAAAAAAGAAGAAGGAGAAGAAATTTTAAAAAATGAACAAAGTGTATATGACATATGGGACACCATAAAGTGACTAATTCAAATTTTGAGTGTTCCAGAAGGTGAAGAGAAGCCCAAAAGGCATAGAAAAGCCTGTTTAATGAAATAATAGCTGAAATCTTTCTAAGTATAGCAATAAATTGAGACATTCAAATAACAAGAAGTTCAGAGATTCTCAAACAGATAAAATCCAAAAAGGTTCTTCCCTGCGGCACGTGATAGTCAAACTATCAAAAGCCAAAGACAGAAAATTCTACAAACAGCAAGAGAAAAGTGTCTAGTCACATGTAAGGAAACCTCCATCAGACTAACAAGAGATTTCTCAGCAGAAACTTTACAGGCCAGGAGAAAATGGCCTATTCGAAGTACTGAAAGAAAAAAAAAAAACTGTTAGCCAAGTATACTATGCTCAGCAAAGTTATCTTTCACAAATGAAGGAGAAATAAGGTCTTTCCTAGACAAGCAGAAACTGAGGAAATTCATCACCACTAGTCCAGCCCTACAGTAAATGCTTACCAGGGCTCTACACCTGAAAGTGAAAGGACAATATCTATCATCATGAAAACACCCAAAAGTATAAAACTCACTGGTAAAGCAAACACACAAATGAGGAAGGGAAAGGACTCAAGTGTTACCACTACAGAAAATTACCAAACTGCAATGATAAACAATAATAGAGAAAGAAACAAAGGATATACAAAATAGCCAGAAAACGATTGAACAAAATGACAAGAATAAGTCCCCTCATATCAATAATAATCTTAAATGTAAGTGGATTAAATTTTCCACTGAAAAGATACAGACTGGCTGAATGGACAAAAAAAAAAAAATGACCCAATTATATGCTGCCTAAAAAAACTCACTTCACTGGTAAGACATATATAGACTGAAAATAAAGGGATGGAAAAAGATATTCCACACAAATGGAAGCCAATAGCAAACAAGCAGAAGTACTTATCTTAATATCAGATAAAACAGACTTTAAGTGAGAAACAGTAAGAAGAGATAAAGAAGGTCATTATATAATAATAAAAAGATCAGTTCCACAAGAGAATATTACAGTTCTAGACATATATGCAGACAACACTGGAGCACCCAGAGTTATAAAGCAAATAGTATTAGATCTAAAGGGAGAGATAGACTCCAATACAATAATAGTTGGAGACTTCAACATCCCACTTTCAGCATTAGACATATTATCTAGACAGAAATTAACAAAGAAATATTGAATTTAAACTGCACTTTAGACCAAATGGACCTAACAGACATCTACGGTATATTCTACCCGACAGCTGCAGAAAATACACACATTCTTCTCAACAGCACATGGAACATTTTCCAGGATAGACCATATGTTAAGCCACAAAATAAGTCTCAACAAATTTCTAAAAATTGAAATTATACCAAGTATCTTCTCAGACTATAGTGGAATAAAACTAGAAATCAAAAAGAAGAAGAACTTCAGAAGCTGTACAAATGCATGGAAATTAAATAACATGCTCCTGAAGAACCACTGGGTCAAGGAAGAAATTAAGGAGGAAATCACAAAATTTCTTGAAACAAATAAAAATCAAAACATAGCACACCACAACCTATGAGATACAGCAAAAGCAGTGCTAAGAGGAAAGTGTATAGCAATAAATGCTTACGTCAAAAAGTAGAAAGATTTCAAATAAACAATCTAATGATGTACCTCAAGGAACTAGAAAAGCAAGAACAAACCAAACCAAAATTAGTAGAAGGAAAGAGATAATAAAGATCTAAATAAAAAAGAGGCTACAAAAAATACAAAGGACCAATAAAACAAAGGTTTTTTTTTTAAAAAGATGAACAGCAGCAAAAAAACTCCTAGCTAGACTATACAAGAAAAAAGAGAGAAGACCCAAATAAACAAAATCAGAAACAAAAAAAGAGGACATTACAACTGATACCACAGAAATACAAAAGATCATCAGATTCTATTATGAGCAACTATATACTAATACACTGGAAAACCTAGAGGAAATAGATACATTCCTGGACACATACATACCTACCAAGATTGAATCAGGAAAAAACAGAAAACCTGAACAGATGAATAATGAACTACAAGATTGAATCCGTAATAAAAACTCTCCCAACAAAGAAGTTTAGGACAAAATAGCTTTACTGCCAAATTCTACCAAACTTATAAAGGAGAAATAACATTACTTCTTCTCAAACTATTCCAAGAAACTGAAGAGGAAGCAATTCCCCTTAACTCATTCTATGAGGCCAGCATTACCCTGATACCAAAACCAGACAAGAATGTAACAAAAAAAGGAAATGGCAGGCTAGTGATGAACACAGACATAAAAATTACCAACATAACACTAGCAAATCAAACCCAACAGCACATCAAAAAAGGTAATGTAGCATGATTAAGTGGGATTTATCCCAGAGATGCAAGGATGGTTCAACATACACAAATCAAAAGATACGATATAGCCATCATCAGAGTGAAGGACAGTAGCCATATCATTCTCTAAATAGATGCAGAAAAAGCATTGGATAAAACTCGACGTTCCTTGGTGATAAAAATCTCAACCAACCAGGCATTGCAAGAACATATCTTAATATAATAAAGGCCATATGTGACCCATAGCTAATATCATACCAAATGGGGAAAAGCTGAAAGCCTTTCCTTTAAGAACTGGAACAAGACAAGGATGCACACTTTCACCAGTCCTGGTCAACATGGTACTGGAAGTCCTAGCCAGAGCAGTCAGTCAAGAGAAAGAAATAAAGGCATAACAATCAGAAAAGAGGAAGTTAAATTGTCCCTTTTTGCAGATAATGTGATCTTATATCTAGAAAAATCTAAAGACTCCACCAAAAAATCTTAGCTGTGGTAAGCAAATTCAGTAACATTGCAGAATGCAAAATCAACATACAAAATAAATAGTGTTTCTATACACCAATAATGAAGTGGCTGAGGAAAAGAATAAGACAATCTCATTTATAATCACTTCAAAAATATACCTAGGAATAAATTTAAACAAGGAGGTGAAAGACCTCTACAATGAAAACTACAAAACATTGATGAAAGAAATTGAAAAGGATACAAGCAAATTGAAAAACAGCCTACCCTCATGAATCAAAAGAATTAATATTGTTAAAATGACTATACTACTCAAAGCAATCTACAGATTCAATGTAATCTGTATCAAAATACCAATGTCATTTTTCACAGAATTAGAAAAAACTATCCTAAAATTCATGTGGAACCAAAAATTAGGCTGAATAACCAAAGGAATCCTGAGCAAAAAGAACAAAGCTGAAGGCATCACACTACCTAACTGCAAAATATATTACAAGACTATGGTAATCAAAACAGCATGATACTGGTATGAAACAGACACATAGACCAATGGAACAATATAAAGAATCTAGAAATAAATCCTTGTATTTACAGCCAACTGGTTTTTGACAATGCCACCAAGAACATACATTGCAGAAAGGACATTCTCTTCAATAAATAGTGCATGGAAAACTGGATCTCCATATGCCACGGAACGAAACTAGACCCCTATCTCTTGTCACATACAAAAATCAACTCAAAATGGAGTGAAGACTAAACATAAGACCTGAAGCTATAAAACTACTAGAAGAAAACGTAGAGCAAATGCTACAGGACATTGGTTTAGGCAAAGATTTTAAGTCTGTGGCCTCAAAAGCACAGGTAGCAAAAACAAAAATAGGCACATGGGACTATATTAAATAAAAAAGCTTCTGCACAACAAAGGAAACAAATCAACAGAGTAAAGAGACAATCTGTTGAATGGAAGAAAACATTGACAAACTATTCATCTGCCAAGGACTAATATCCAAAATATGCGAGGAACTCAAACAACAGCAAAAAGAAAAAAAATCACATTAAAAAGTGGGCAAAGACATGAATGTACATTTTTCAGAAGAAGATACGCAAATTGTCAACAGGTATACAAAAAATGCTCAATGTTACTAATCATCAGGAAAATGAAAATCAAAACTACAGTGAGATAGCATTTTATCCCAGGTAGGATGGCAATTATTAAAAAGACAAAAACAACAGATGTCTAGTGAAGATGCAGAGAAAAGGGAACCCTTATGCACTGTCAGTAGGAATGTAAATTAGTACAGCCATTGTGGAAAACAGTATGGAGGTTTCTTGCAAAACTGGAAATAGAACTTCCACGTGATCCAGCAGTCCTACTACTGGGTATTTATCCAAAGGAAAGGAAATAAGTATATCTAAGGAGATACCTGTACCCCCATATTTATGGCAGCAGAAAAAACAATTGCAGTACTATTTACAGTAACAAAGATATAGAATCAACCTAAGTGTCTATCAAAGGATGAATAGATAGAGAAAATGTGGTATTTATACACAATAGAATACTACTTGGCCATAAAGAGTGAAATTCTGTCATATGCAGCAACATGGAACTGCAGGTTAAGTGTTAAGTGAAACAAGCTAGGCACAGAAAGACAAATATCACGTGTTCTCATTTATATGTGGGAGCTAACAAAGTTAATCTCATGGAGGTAGAGAGTAGAATAATGGGTACAAACATATAGTTAGAAGGAATAAATTCTAATATTTGATAGCAGAGTAGGGTACTCTTGTTAACAATGTATTGTATATTTCAAAATAGCTAGAAGAAAAGACTTAAAATGTCCCAGTACATAGAAATGATAAATACTCAAAGTGATAGATACCCTAAATACCCTGATTTTGATCACTACACATTCTGTGCATGTAACAAAATATTACATATACCCCATTAAAAAAGTACAGATTTAGGTTGGTACAGAAGTAATTTCAGTTTTTGCCATTGAAAGTAATGGTAAATAAAAATTTTATTTTAAAAAAAGAAAAATATGCACCAATAAAATTTTTTTTTTAAAAAAAAAAGACAAAATAAAGCAGGGAAGAGAGGGAGTAGGGGTTGGGGTGGGAGTGCAGGATGAGGTAGCTATTTTGGATAGGGTGGCAAGGGAAAAGCTTCACTGCGAAAGTGACATTTGAGCAGAAGGAGGTGTCAGAGTGAGCCATGAGGATTTCTGGGGGCAGAGTTCTCCAGGGCGGAGAATCTGTGAGCACAAAGGCCTGGGGTGGGAGCTTACTGAGAGTGATCAAGGATCAGTATCCCAGTGTGGCTGGAGTGGAGTGAAGCAAGGAGGTGGCCATGGAGCCAGGGAGAAAGATGAGGTAGCAGTAGTGCTGATCATGTAGGGCCTTACAGGCCGCTTTAAGGACACTGGCTTATACTCTGAGAGACTCACTGGAGTGTCTTAAGCAGGCTTAAGGAGATTGTCCCCAGGAATCTCTCTATTTGGGGGAGAATAGCGTGTGCAGGGATGTGTCAGAGCTGATGATCTCCCACTTAGGGACAGGAGTTCTTCTGCAAGAAGATATTACAGGGTCTGTATAGAAACATTTCCAAGATGCCAAAAAGAGTTGGGCGATTATGTTACATTTTGGTAGAGCCACTCTCCTGGGGATCTCACGGTTTCTGCTGAAACATATCACACACACAATCATAGCTGCACAGTGCTGTGATGAAACATCACTAGGGTACCTCCACTCCCCATACAGTTAGGAAACTGTGGAACAGAGACATCCTCCCGTGTTCAGAGTCACACAGCCTAGATAGTGGCAGTGGTAGGACTACAATCATGGCAGATCAGTGCTAGAAAGGCTTTAGAGTGTCTGTATGTCATTCAGGGTTCCCAGCCTTGAGAAGAGGACCTGCTATGCAGTTACTGCGGACTGCAAATTCACATGTACACCAACTGTTGTTTGTAGACTAAATAAATAACATCTAACATCTGTATACCGTTACTTTAAAAACGAATGTTGACTCTGCTGTGATTAATAAATTGGAAGTTTATTTTCAACTGTTACTGCATCCAAAGTACCTTTTTTCATTATATTTTCTCACTGCACAGATTCTTAAAGTATATCTGCTGTTGTTTGATTAGTCTGAGAGAGGTTTTGATGTGTGAAGTGTCCCTCGTGCTTGAAAAGATTGGGAAGCACACATCTAGTCCAACCCTTCCACTTACTTTACAAGATAGACCAAAGCCCATGAGGGTTCCCTTTACTGCCTTAGGGTTGGGAAGATTGTCAGTAATAAAGTAGGGACCAGATCCTGATTCTTTAGGACCCAAAAGTGAGTGCTTTGTTTTTTTCTTAAGTATATCATATTAATGGTTCCCATTAATCCAGAACATCCCTATGAATTAGAAAAATCCACAAAATATGGTCAGGCGTGGTGGCTCACACCTGTAATCCCAGCACTTTGGGAGGCCGAGTGGGGTGGATCACCTGAGGTCAGAAGTTCAAGACCAGCCTGGCCAACATGGTGAAACCCCATCTCTACTAAAAATACAAAAAAATTAGCTGGGCATGGTGGTGGGTGCCTGTAATCCCAGCTACTTGGGAGGCTGAGGCAGGAGAATTGCTTGAACCTGGGAGGCAGAGGTTGCAGTGAGCTGAGATCGTGCCATTGCACTCCAGCCTAGGCAACAGAGCAAGACTCTATCTCCAAAAAAAAATTTACAAAACATATTTCTTCCCTCAATGTAAATGAAGGTCATATAATAGTGAGGCCTGAAGTAAGCGAGCAATAGCTGCCCAGTGGGACAGATGATGGTGCCTGGGCTTACTTTACAAAAAACAACATTCTCCAGCTCAGCCACCTTATCATAGACTCCCCCATCACTGGTTCAGACAGCATCCAAACAGGCTCAGCAGGTGTTTGCTCCATTAGAATTCTTACATAGATTTTGCAGACACACTGTCAAACCAGCCACACAGAATTTTATGTTACTTTTGGATGAAGATCACACACACACACACACACACACACACACACACACGTACATTGACTCGTTTGTGAGAGCGGAGGGCAGACACCAGCATCTGTTAACCAAATGGTGGTATACAACATGCATGTCCTGTTTATGTTTGTGTATGTGCTTTTCCTTTCCATAGTTGTTTTTCGTCTCCTTTGGGTAGACCTAGCATCAGGGAGTCAGAGTGTTGTTATTTGCTCATAGAGACACACACAACTCTTTTCTTCATGCTTGTATTCACACAAAACTAACTCCTAGTTTGTTGAACAATGAAAGTTTGCATTTGGGCATAGGAGATAAGTACACACTTGCTCACATGGATCAGTAACACTTTGACTATTGTTAGCCTTCTTTTGAAAATAAAATAAATCTCTGGCTTACCGTGAAAACTTTACAGATCCAGGACCATTGTGGCATCAAGAACTAGGACTGCCTCCTATTGTTCAATTTTCCAGATGCATGTCTGTCTTTCTGTCTCTGTCTCTGTGTCTCTCTCTCTCCCTCCCTCCCTCCCTCTCTCTCTCTCTCTCTCTCTCCCCCCCTCCCTCTCTCCCTCTCTCTCTCTGTCTCTCTCTCTCCAGGTATTTTTTTTAAATACTTTAAGTTCTAGGGTACATGTGCACAAAGTGTAGGTTTGTTACATATGTATACATGTGCTGTGTTGGTGTGCTGCACCCATGAACTTGTCATTTACATTAGATATATCTCCTAATGCTATCCCTCCCCTCTCCCCCCACCCCATGACAGGCCCCGGTATGTGATGTTCCCCTTCCTGTGTCCAAGTGTTCTCATTGTTCAGTTCCCACCTACGAGTAAGAACATGCAGTGTTTGGTTTTTTGTCCTTGCGATAGTTTGCTGAGAATGATGGTTTCCATCCATGTCCCTACAAAGGACATGAACTCATCCTTTTCTATGGCTGCGTAGTATTCCATGGTGTATATGTGCCATATTTTCTTAATCCAGTCTATCATTGATGGACATTTGGATTGGTTCCAAGTCTTTGCTATTGTGAATAGTGCCACAATAAACATACATGTGCATGTGTCTTTATAGCAGCATGATTTATAATCCTTTCCCCAGGTAGTTTATGTAGGAACTATTTAATGTTAAATGAATCATTAGGTAAAGTGCGTATACTACTTCATGAGATGGCTTTAATTAAGTCACTTATTTTCTTAAGACTTTATCTTGATAATTTTTTTCTTGGTTCATAATGAAATGGAAAAGATTTGTGCCTTGACTATCCTGAAACTTTTATGTTACTCTCACAAGTTTACTGAAGCTGCAAAGAATAAATAAGGCTATTTAAACTATGGTGACTATAACCCATTTATATTGAGAAATAAGCCTTTCAAGAGGTTAAAAATAGCATAAAGGCAGGTACATAAGATGCTTGTCAGCTAAAAAGACCCACCCAATTTAAAGTAACATTAATATATTAAAACCCCATTTCTTATCTGAGCATATTTATAGCAGAACAAAACTCCAGAGATAAATTCATCTGCCTTCAGACAGCCGTACACCTGAACTCCAGGTGGATGTTTGTGTTTGGGTCTGTTTCTAGGTGGAATGATCTCATGTTCTCCCTTACCACAGAATTGTGCAACACTGATACACACCTGTGTTTTGATCTTTAAAATCTGTCGTGGTAACATCTCAAGTAATTTTAAATAGCTTCGTGGATGATCCAGATTGCACGTCTGCCAGAAACATCCTTGGGCACAGTTTTGGAGCTGACTTGGATTCCTGCAATACTAAACTCGAGTCATATTGAAAATATACTAGGCCTTGGGTTCTGTTCCTTTCACTGAGACTTTTATCTCGATGCATTTTTTTGTATAAGTAATCCCCTTGGCCAGCGTCAGTGCATGAGATCTTAATTATCATTAAAAGAGAGTGAGATGAAGTATTTAGAAACTAAAGCAAGTTACCTGGATCACCACATTTCTGTCATTGCACAAGTATTTGAAGAATTATTTTTTTTGCTCTTTTTTTTTTGAATTGCAGAAATTTATGAAAATTAGAGACATTGTTTAATCTTCTTGTGCCATGAGACTCCATCAGGCCATCTACAAAGACCACTGGGAGGCTAAGGATCACTTGAGCCCAGGAATCGTGCTCTTTTAAATATATCTTTTTCATAAAAGTTATTTTAAAATGTGGCAGTTTAAAATGCCTGCTGAAAGAGTTGATCTTACCTGTAAGATCACAGATTTCTTTCTTTAAAAGCTAGTGGATACCCAACTTGTAAAGCACCAAAGTAGGACTTAGTGTGGGAATGTTAAGGAATGAAGCAGAGTTGAAGACATGGCTTATTTCAAAACACAGTGACTCATGAATGCAAAGTAATGCATTTCTGTTATGTTTGCAGATTCATGGTTAATTCCGACCTTAGCTTAACCACCATATTTTCAGGGCAAACTGTTGATGTGGTAAATTTTTTTCTAATGTATTTATTTTATTCTAGTTATTATGGGTAATACCAAAAATATGTAAAAAGTAGAATAGTGTAATGAACCTTCGATACCCATCATCCCACTTCTATCTGTGGTTAGCCCTGTACCCCACTCACTTCACAGTCCCCATGTCCTTCACTGGATTGTTTCAAAGCAAATTCACAAGTATGTGGTATGAATTTTTGTCTTTATGGGAACATTTTAGAGGATGTTACACTTTAGAGGGTATCACCCACATGGAGAGCAAAAGAAAGATGAGAAGTACATTCTAAAGAAGGCTGGGTGTGGTGGCTCACCCCTATAATCCCAGCACTTTGGGAGGCTGAGGCAGGAGCATTGCTTGAGCCCAGGAGTTCAGGCAACAAAGCGAGACCCTGTCTCAAAAAAGACACAGAGACAGAGACAGAGAGAGACAGAGAGAGGGGAGAAAGAGAGAGAGTATGTGAGAGAGAGGGAAAGGAAAAGGAAAGAAAGAAGGAGAAAATGGAGAAGCGAAGCGAAGCAAGGCAAGGCAATTGAAACAGTAGTGAAGAAGAGTGGTAGTATATCCTGTTAGCCTGTACTATCTATTGTAACATCATGGATCACAAGGAATTCAACATTTTTTTTTTTTTTTGAGACAGAGTCTTGCTCTGTCGCCCAGGCTGGAGTGCAGTGGCATGATCTCGGCTCACTGCAAGCTCCGTCTCCCAGGTTCACGCCATTCTCCTACCTCAGCCTCCAGAGTAGCTGGGACTACAGGCACCCGCCAACAAGCCCGGCTAATTTTTTGTATTTTTAGTAGAGACGGGGTTTCACCGTGTTAGCTAGGATGGTCTCAATCTCCTGACCTCGTGATCTGTCCACCTCGGCCTCCCAAAGTACTGGGATTGCAGGCGTGAGCCACCGCGCCCAGCCGGAATTCAACATTTTTAATAATGGGGGCATAGGTTTTTGATTGTGCATGCTACTGCAACTATGGTATGTGAGTCTTGATTCCTATTTTCTATCTCTCATGAGCACCTCTGCAACTCAGCCTGAATCTTGCCTATGAAAGTGGCAGAAGTGAAGCTATTAAGCTCCTAGAGACCCATAGAGAAGGGCCACTAGAGCATCTTGAGGGCAGGAGCCATGTTGGTTTGGGTAGCACTATAGTGGCTTGCACAGTGCCTGGCACATATTTGTTGCATGAGTGGATTCTTATATCCACAGAACTGTGACTTGAGTGAGTGCAGGAGAAGTTGTATAGCTCTTTCCACATACAGTTCCCCCAACCAGAGTGCTGTAAAGACAAAGCAGAGTCCCAGGAACAGTTCATGGGATTCTTTGTGCTTTGAGTCTTTCAGTGTAAAATTTATATATCTATCTGAAATCTTAAAAAACTTGGTAATGCCCTCTGGCTTTTACCAAAAGAATTGAAACACACTCACATACACAATATAGTCATTACCATTCTCCTAAAACAGAACTTTGGAATTTTTTTTTTTTTTTTTTTTTTTGAGACGGAGTCTCTCTCCTGTGGCCCAGACTGGAGTGCAGTGGTACGATCTTGACTCACTGCAACCTCTGCCTCCTGGGTTCAAGCGATTATCCTGCCTCAGCTGCCCAAGTAGCTGGGATTACAGGGTCACACCACCACGCCCGGTTTATTTTTTGTTTTTAGTAGAGACTGAGTTTCACCATGTTGGTCAGACTGGTCTGGAACTCCTGACCTCAGGCGATCTGCCCACCTCGGCCTCCCAAAGTGCTGGGATTACAGGTGTGAGCCACTGCACCTGGACTGGAATTATTTTTTAAAGATGCTTTTCTATTACTTTTGTCATTTAAAAGGACTCAAGTATTTTTCCCCGGGCGCAGGCAGTAGATATATATGTATTCTTTGGGGTTGAACTCAAGTTTGAAATTTTAATCTGTAGACTAGGTAGCCTCTGAGGTATGTGCCACTGCATGATCCATACCACAATGCCCGCCTCGTTCATTTGCTCTAGAAGGCTCCCATGCCATCATTTGTGAGCATGTATCACCTTCTCCATTCTACCTACACATTGGCATAAAGTCCCAACCCTCTAATTGGCTCACCACTTAAAAAGCCCTATTGACTGCTTCCTTAAACAGCCTTGTATTCTTTGTGATAAATACATTTGAAACTGATTTACTCTGGGGTGGGCGGAGGGAAGGTTTGGGAGGGAACCCTACATTTTAAGGACTTGAAAACAAGTTGGTTATATTTTTAAACTATACTGAGAAGGGGATAGGGTCAGAACCCAATAATGGACCTGAAATCACTGAAAATAATTCTTGGATATTGAAGGGTAAAATTTGGCCTATGTCTTGTAAACAGCTGCCTGTATCCCGTAAACAGGCTCAGTCAGATGCTAACAGATATTTGTCAAAATTGCACATGCCAGAGATTGAAACGGAAAATGGACATGAGCCATTTTGGAGTTAGGCTTTCCCAACAACAGGCCTCGGGGCTGTTTAGGTTCTGCCACCTAGATACACGGGGGATGGTTTCTTCAGTGTTTTCCTTCCTCATGAGCTCCCAAAGGACAAGGAAGCAAATCCACAGCTCCTTGAAGCCCCTTAGTCCCTAAGCTACAGTTGAACACAGCAAACACATATTTAATATTGTTTTTATCTGCTTAATTGTAAGTTAGTATTGAACACAGACTAGTTTCAAAGTTTTATTTGCTTAACTTTATGAGTCCTTTCATTAAAAAAAGGATTTCTCTGCCTGGGCACAATGGCTCACGCCTGTAATCCCAACACTTTGGGAGGCCAAGGCGGGAGGATCACCTGAGGTCGGGAGTTCGAGACCAGCCTGGCCAACATGGTGAAACCCCGTCTCCACTAAAAATACAAAAATTAGCTGGGGATGGTGGTGCGTGCCTGTAATCCCAGCTACTCAGGAGTCTGAGGCAGGAGAATCACTTGAACCTGGCAGTTGGAGGTTGCAGTGAGTCAAAATTGTCCCACTGCACTCCAGTCTGGCGACAGAGTGAGACTCCCTCTCAAAAAAAAAAAAAGGATTTCTCTTCTGTTTGCTTATCAATACTCTAAGCATTATGGATTTACAAATAAATATAAATTATAGTTTTCATTCCCAAAGGGCTTGCAATTTAGTTGGGTAGATAAGACATGTACAAGAAAGAATTAAAGAATACAGCAGCATATAAAAAATTATTTAAGTTTTGTGGTGCAATTAGAATAAATGGTACTGATTAAGTATTATAGGCGGTAAGAGCAAAAGAGAAAACATCAGCATGGACTAGAATCTTTGGATCCTGGCACATGGTAGTTGCACAGAAAATATTTGTTGAACAGAGGATAGGCCATTAAACACCATTTAAAATAGCATCAAAAATATGAAGTACTCAGTTATACATTTGAGAAATGATGTACAAAACCCATATACCAAAAAGTATAAAAGATAAATTAAAGAAGACCTAAATAAATAGAGAAATATATTGTCAGTGGGCCAGAAGTCTCAGTATTAAGATGTCAATTCTTCCCAGAGTAATCATTGATCTATAGATCTACAGATTAAGTAGTCAAAAATCTCAGCAGACTTTTTTTTTTAGGGATTGACAAGCCGATTCTAAAATGTATATATAAATGCCAAGGACCGAGAATAGCCAAAACAACTTTTGAAAAGAAGAGCAAAGTTGGAGGAAGGACTTGCAATACCTGATTTCAATACTTACTATAAAGCTACAATAATCAAAGCAATATGGTATTGGCATAAAGAGAGAAAAATAGATAAATGAAACTGAATTTGATAATGAGTCCAGAAATAGACCCACACATCTATAGACATTCAGTTTTTGACAGAGTTGCCCAGGTAGTTCAATAGAGAAAGGATAATCATTTCAACAAATGATGCTGGAACAACTGGATAGCCATAACCAAAAAGTTGAGCCTCAATCCTTACCCCATAGCATGTACAGCATTAACTCAAAATGAATTTATAGACCTAAATGTAAGAGCTAAAATTATAGGTATTGTCTTAGTTCATTCAGGCTATTATAACAAAATACTATAGATTGAGTAGCTTATAAAAAACAGAACTTTATTTCCTACAGTTTTGGAGACTGGGAAGTCCAAAATCAAGCACCGGCAGATTGAGTGTCTGATGAGGACTCACTTCTTTCATAGATGGCCATCTTCTCACATGGCAGGAGAGGCTAGCTCCCTGTAGTCTCTTTTAAAAGGGCTCTAGGCCAGGTACAGTGGCTCACACCTGTAATTCTAGCACTTTGGGAGCCCAAGGCAGGCAGATCACCTGAGGTTGGGAGTTCGAGACCAGCCTGACCAACATGGAGAAACCCTGTCTCTACTAAAAATACAAAAATTAGCTAGGCGTGGTGGTGCATGTCTGTAATCTTAGCTACTCAGGAAGCTAAGGCAGGAGGATCACTTGAACTCGGGAGGCAGAGTTTATGG
This sequence comes from Homo sapiens, assembly GCF_000001405.40. Taxonomy (NCBI): domain Eukaryota; kingdom Metazoa; phylum Chordata; class Mammalia; order Primates; family Hominidae; genus Homo; species Homo sapiens. The sequence continues at coordinate 28,190,630 of NC_000002.12, forward strand.
AGAGCCGAGATGGCGCCATTGCACTCCAGCCTGGGCAACAAGGCAAAACTCTGTCTCAAAAAACAAGGGGGGGGCGGTGCTGTAATCCCATGAGGGCAGAGCCCTCATGATCTAATCACCTTCCAAAGGTTCTACTTACTAATACCATTAATACCATCACCTGAGGGTTAGGATTTCAACATATGATTTTGGGAGAGACACAAACATTCAAACTATGACAAACATCTAGAAGAGAACATAGGAAAATAATCTTAGTGAATTTGGGCTTAGCAAAAATTTCTTAAGTATGATACATAAAACAACATTAAATATAAAAGAAAAATCAGTACATTACACTTCACCAAAATCAAAATATTTGCTCTTCAAGGCACGGTTACAAAATAAAACAGCCAGCCAACAAACCCAAAGAGGAGAAAATTGCAAAACATATATATGACAAAGAACTGTTATCCAGAGTATACAAAGAACTGTTACAACTTAGGAATAAGAAGACAAACAGCTTAATACAATTTAGGCAAAAGATTTGAACAAATACGTAGTCATTGGGGAAATGCAAATTAAAGCCACAATGAGATTAATACTATACACCTACTAGAATGGGTAAAATTTAAAAGTTTGACCAAAACAAGCATTGGCAAGGATGTAGAACTGGAACTTTTATGGAAATATAAAATGATACATTGACTTTGAAAAACAGTTGGTCAGTTTCTTACAAAGTTAAGCATACAACTGCCAGATGACCCAGCCATTCTACTGCAGGTACTTGGTCAAGAGAAATGAAAGCATACATCTACACAAAGACTTGCAGATGAGTGTTCATAACAGCTTTATTTATAATAGCCAAGAGGTGGAAACAACCCAAATGTCCATCAACAGGGAATGGATAAACAAATAGTGGGATATCCATTACAATGGAATACGCCTCAGCAATAAAAATGAGTATACTATTGGTACGCACAACAAAATGGATGAATCTCAAAATAGTTATGCTGAGTGAAAGAAGCCAGGCAAAGAAGAGTACATGCTGCATGATGTACTATTTATATAATTATAAGTATACATTTATATAAAATTCTAGTGAATGCAAATTATAATGACAGCAGAACAGTGGTTGCCTGGGGACAGGAGCAGTGTAGTTGTGGAAGGGAGAGATTACAAGAGTAAGAGGAAACTTAGGAAGACGCTATATACGTCCATTTTCCTTATTGTGGTTTCTCAGGTGTCAAAAGTCATTAAAATTTGAAATGTACAATTGTACATCAATTATTTCTCAAAACTATAAAAAAAAGAAAAAAGAACTGATTGCCTACATGGCCATTTTTCATTTGCATGATGACAGAAATCGAAGAGCTGTTTTCAACATGAGCTCAGTGTCCCATTGATGTAGGCAGGAGATTGTTTTTTGGTTTTTTGTGTTTTTTTTGAGACAGAGTCTCACTCTGTCACCCAGGCTGGAGTGCAGTGGCACGATCTCGGCTCTCTGCAAGCTCCGCCTCCTGGGTTCACGCTATTCTCCTGCCTCAGCCTCCCGAGTAGCTGGGACCACAGGCGCCCGCCACCACGCCCAGCTAATTTTTTGTATTTTTAGTAGAGACGGGGTTTCACCATGTTAGCCAGGATGGTCTTGATCTCCTGACCTCGTGATCTGCCTGCCTCGGCCTCCCAAAGTGCTGGGATTACAGGCGTGAGCCACTGCGCCCAGCCAGGAGATTGTATATTACCTTTAATAGAGAAGCTGCACACCAACATGGCACATTTATACATACGTAAAAAACCTGCACGTTGTGCACATGTACCCTGGAACTTAAAGTATAATAAAAAAAAAAATAGAGAAGCTAATGCAGTCACAATTTATGGGTCTTTATTCATTTGACTGGGTTTATAGCTCTTTTTTTTTTTTTTTTTTTTTTGAAACAGAGTCTCACTCTGTCACTCAGGCTGGAATGCAATGGCGTGATCTTGGCTCACTGCAACCTCTGCCTCCCGGGTTCAAGTGATTCTCCTGCCTCAGCCTCCTGAGTAGCTGGGACTACAGGCACGTGCCACCACGGCCAGATAATTTTTTTGTAATTTTAGTAGAGATGGGGTTTCACCATGTTGGCCAGGATGATCTCTATCTCCTGACCTCGTGATCCGCCCACCTGGGCCTCCCAAAGTGCTGTGATTACAGGTGTGAGCCACCACGCCCGGCCTATAGCTCCTTTTTATAGCTTAAGATGGCATTTGTTTCATGAAAATTGCTCTTAAAAAATAGTTCTGTTGGCTGGGTGCGGTGGCTGACACCTGAAATCCCAGCACTTTGGGAGGCCGAGATGGGTGGATCGCCTGAGGTCAGGAGTTCGAGACCAGCCTGGCCAACATGGTAAACCCTGTCTCTACTAAAAATACAAAAAAAGTAGCTGGGCGTGGTGGTGCGCACCTGTAATCCCAGCTACTCAGGAGGCTGGGGCAGGAGGCTTGAACCCAGGAGGTGGAGATTGCAGTGAGCCGAGATCATGCCATTGCACTCCAACATGGGCGACATGAGCAAAACTCTGTCTCAAAAAAGAAACAAAGAAATAGTTCTGTTTATGGTACCTATGAGGAATAAATTGGGCACATTAAAAAATTAGATTGATTAGATTTTAGTTTGTTCAAGATAGAGGCTAATATCTCTGCACTCTTGAACCTCTACATTCTTGAGCCCTAGGTGGTAGGCAAGGTGCTGGATTTATGCACCGTGCTAAGTGGGCCCAACTCTGCCTTCACCGAGGGATCTGAAGGCCTGGTCTAGGGCTCTGGCTCTGACGCTTAATAAACATGTGACCTCGGCAAGTCATGTGTCACTGAGCCTCAGTTTCCTCATGTGTAAAATGACAGTAATAATAATACCTATCTCACTTGCCTCAGAATTGATACAAGAGCATACTGCTCTTTAAAAGCTGTAAAGTGGCATGAAAATACAAGGAGTTGTTATTTCTGTTGTTCTCCTGCTCTGGATCCCAAAATGCTTATCCATTGCTCAAGAAAACCAAAGGTATATAATCTTTTCAATTTATAAGAAGGAAAAGAAGTTACGTCACGATGTAACTTCTGTAACAGATGATGTCACTAAAACTGATCACACTATGGCCATGATCCTTCAAAAGCAGTTTTTTCTCTCTTCCTCTTTTCCCTCCTTTGCTTTCTCATTTTATTCCATTAATTTAGTCAACAGATGCTTGCTAAGTACCTGGCAAGTGTCAGGTCCTGTAGGCAATAGAAATAAAACAAGGAAGAAGACAGATGAGTCACTGCCTCTGAGAAGCTGACATATCTGTGGGAGGCTGTGGTGCAGTTTGACAGGTGCTATGAGAGGAAAAGCATGAGGGGCTCGAGAGCACCTGGGAAGACCCCGTAACCAAATTTGGGGGGTCAGGGGAAGGACACTTGAGGATAAGTAAGGGTTAGCCACTCAGAGAGCGGGCGGGAGTGTTCCAGTCAAAGGGAACAGCACGTGCAGAATGCATGGAGGAGAGCTTCGTGTGGCTGGAGTCAGAGTGTGAAGCCTGGTCAGTGAGAGGGAAGTGGGGAAGTTTCCCAGGACAGATGGTGTTGGGGCCTTGTAAGCCACGGTGAGAGCTGCAGGGAGCCATCTGGTTCCCTGCCTATAGTTTTAAGCAGGAAATCAACATGACTGACTTGCCAGTTTACTGTCTGTGGTAAGGCTTCCTGCTCTCAGCTCCCAGAGTTCCTTGTGAAGCCGTGTTGGTGGTCAAGATTAAGAAGGTTGCTGACCTCTTTCTAGGCAAGATTTTCTTGGATAGAACTTAGCTTATGGCAACCAAACTGACTTTGTTTACATTGTTTTCTGCCAAGAAAACAGAAACCTCTCCAAATAAACAGTGACTATTACTTATAAATAGGCTAATGAAACCGTAATTTTCAGTGTTTCCCTCACAATTTGTTGTATGATTACAACGTAGACTTTTTTTTTTTTTTTTTTTTTGAGAAGGAGTCTTGCTTCACTTGTACCCAGGCTGGAGTACGGTGGCACGATCTCGGCTCATTGCAACCTCCGCCTCCTGGGTTCAAGTGATTTAGCTGGAATTACAGGCACGTACCACCATGCCTGGCTAAGTTTTGTATTTTTAGTAGAGATGGGGTTTGCCATGTTGGCCAGGCTGGTCTCGAACTCCTAACCTCAGGTGATCCGCCTGTCTCGGCCTCCCAAAGTGCTGAGATTACAGGTGTGAGCCACTGTTACTTGCCAAATTTTTGCAGTCTTAATAGAAACAGGGTTTTGCCATGTTGGCCAGCCTGGTCTTGAATTCCTGGCATCACGTGATCCACCTGCCTCCGCCTCCCAAAGTGCTGGGATTACAGGCGTTAGCCACCACGCCCAGCCAACATAGACATTTTAAATGGGGATCATATACCAGAGAGAAAATTGTGCTCTAGCAAGAAGACCAGAAATACTTGAATAGAGAGGAACCTCTCTGAGCTTAAATGCAATGGGATTTTTTTTTCACAGTAAGATAATTAATTTCTGTTTTCATTTTCCCCAGTGCTACATTGGCATTGGGGGATAAAAAATATACCCTTGGGAAGGTGTGCTGACTTCTGCAGTCCACAAGAATACTATTAAGAATGTGTCTGCAATTTGTGCTTATTTGTGCTTGTGTTGATCTTTCCTTTATTTTTTTATTTTACAGCTTTAAGTTTCTTTGGACAGCATCTCTTACTATACTTTTCAAATGTCTTGCTCTCTTATAGATAATAATAACATAAAATCTTTACATAATTTCCCCCAGGTGTCAAGATAGTTTATTGTCTTTTTGTTTTGACATTCAGATATCTGTCTGGAAAAAAAATCTCTATGACATGAGAATTCTAAAGTTTAAAGGACATGAGGACAGTGTAACAAACTCACAGATTCATACTGTGGCAACTGAGGGAATGGTTTCCATCCTTTTGGGTGGAGAAGTCTATCAAGAGGGCCAGGGTCTTCAGGTACAGCAGTGAATTGTTGTTGAACAAAATATCAGTGTCTATTTTTATCGTAGATACATAGCTGTAATATATATACAGTTCGGATATAGACAGCCTGTCTTTATAAAAGTGACTGTCATAGGACAGTAAGTGTATTTGACACAGGCCATCAGCAGAAATGAGAGTGCCAAGTTGGACATAGCACAATTTTCTCATAAAATAGTGAAAATTCAAGTCTACCTAATTCAAAAGTAGTTTTGAGCAAGCCTAATGCACATATAAAATATTAGTTCAAACAAACCAAACACAGCACCCATGCAATATCTCAAGGATACTGTTAATAGTGCCAGCAAGGTGGAAGATGGTATGCTGTCACTGCCATAATTATAAGCTGGCATCAGTCTCTACATGGTGAGCATTTTGTTTCTTACAACAGTGTACAATGAACTCAAAGTTAAGAATTTTTGGCTGGGCGTGGTGGCTTACGCCTGTAATCCCAGCACTTTGGGAGGCCGAGGCAGGCGGATCACGAGGTCAGGAGATCGAGACCATCCTGGCTAACGTGGTGAAACCCCGTCTCTACTAAAAATACAAAAAATTAGCTGGGCATGGTGGCGGGTGCCTGTAGTCCCAGCTACTCGGGAGGCTGAGGTAGGAGAATGGTGTGAACCCGGGAGGCGGAGCTTGCAGTGAGCTGAGATTGTGCCACTGCACTCCAGCCTGGGCAACAGAGCAAGACTCCATATAAAAAAAAAATGAATTTTTTACAAAAAAGCATTAACATATGTGTGTATGTGTCTGTGTGTATATGATTTGGTTAAGCATGGCATTTGGAACCAAGGACTCTGGTTAAAGTACTCACTCTGCCATTAACGTGACATGTATCTGTGAGCTTGTCACTGACTCATTTTTCTTTTCTCACCTCAGTTTCTTCATCTTTGAATTGACACACCAGTTTATCAATGAAAAGGTAAGCTGTAGGTCAGATATGATGGCTCAATGCCTGTAAGCCCAGCACTTTGGGAGGCTGAGACAGAAGAATCACTTGAGGCCAGGAGTTTGAGACCAGCCTTGGCAACATAGCAAGACCCTATCTCCACACACAAAAAATTGTTTTTAATTAGCTTGGCATGATGGCTTGTGCCTGTAGTCCTAGCTACTCAGGAGGCTGAGGTAGAAGGATTGCTGGAGCCCAGAAATTCAAGCCTATAGAGCTATGATCACACTCCAGCCTGGGTGACAGAGTGAGACCCTGTCTTTTTTTTTTTTTTTTTTTTTTTTTTTGAGGAGGGTCTTACTCTGTCACTCAGGCTGGAGTGCAGTGGCATGATCTCAGCTCACTGCAGCCTCCACCTCCCTGGCTTAAGGGATCCTCCCACCTTGGCCTCCCGAATAGATGGGACTACAGGTGTGTGCCACCCACCTAGTTAATTTTTTTGGTATTTTTTATAGAGATGGGATCTCGCTATGTGTGTATGCCCAGGCTGGTCTCAAACTCCTGAGCTCACATAATCCACCCAACCTACACCTCCTGAAGTGCTGGGATTGCAGGCACGAGCCACCACACCTGGCCAAGACCCTGCCTCTTAAAAGTAAGGCAGGAGACTATTTCATTCTTCTGAGAAACAACATCAGGTATAGAAAGACTTTCTTTTGAGTCACATTGACTCTTGTTTTAAAGCCTTGCTTGAGCGCCGGCTGATACATATCCTGACCAATTTCTCTAGCCTCTCTGAGCTTGTTCTTTTATTTGTAAATGTGCAGCTAATAGTATTTAACTTGCTAAGTTTATAAAAGAAACAGTGTTTATGAAATCATAAAACAGAGGACTTTGTGCTTTGCAAGTGCTCAACGATGTTTTCTACCTTTTAAAAGTACCAAAAACACTTGCTAAAAAATGGGCATGGCAGATTGATTTAAAACATTTCCTCTTTACAATGATCTAGATGTCCTACCCTTAAACCTAAATGAGAAATGGAAATGAAGTAAAAGGGATGAGATAGATAAATTGCTGTTTTTGTTAGAAGGAATCAAAGAATTGTGTCTGTTACAGCCATAGTAGAGAGTACTAGTAACAAAGCCCCATTCCATGTCAGAATCATTTGGAGAACTTTTAAAAAAATACATGTTCCAACTTCTGTTTCTCCCAGTATGTATGACTCTTCCTGAGCAACCCTCTAGCTAAAAATCTGGAAATGAAATAAGATAAAATAAAAACTGAAAGTAACACAACCTCAGAGGCCAGAAATAATGTTTAAGCAAGATCCAGAAGAGTAGGTCAGCACTAAAGACAGCTTTCAGAAAACCCAGACATCTACCTAGCCACCATGTCCTTTAACTTAAGTTCTGATAACCTAATTAGGTGTAGGAGACAGGAGCTAAATCCAAGGTTTTGTCCAAGGCGGGAACCCCGTAAGTCCATATGAAATTGAGACCCCCAAATTGCAATAGCCTCCATGTAAGGATAAATTAGAAGGTAATCTGTGCTACAGAGGGAGAATGCAAGGAAATATGCTTATGTTGACTTGGTTTGGGGTAGAAGGGAGAAAAAGCTCTCCGCTGAAAATTCACTACCACAGGACAGCTTTTTTTTTTTTTGAGACTGAGTCTCGCTCTGTCACCCAGGCTGGATGGAGTGCAGTGGTACAATCTCGGCTCACTGCAAGCTCCGCCTCCCGGGTTCACGCCATTTTCCTGCCTCAGCCTCCCGAGTAGCTGAGATTACAGGTGCCCGCAAAAAATGCCTGGCTAATTTTTTGTATTTTTTTAGTAGAGACGGGGTTTCACCATATTAGCCAGGACGGTCTCAATCTGCTGACCTTGTGATCCACCCACCTCAGCCTCCCAAAGTGCTGGGATTACAGGCGTGAGCCACCGCGCCTGGCCAGGACAGCTTTAAAGGAAATTTGCAGCCTGGATTTACAATGATCAGAACGGCCTGAAAACCATCAACCAAAGAGTGTTCTTTAGCATCATCTTCAATTGTTGGTACCTGAGGTACCTTCCTGCTGTGTGTCCATAGTACCTGTCCTTCCTTCTCCCCCTTGCCTTTAGCTCCAGTGACTAAATACCAGGGAAGCCTGAGCCTGGGCCTGTGTTGCCCTTGAGAGATTAGATCGTATAGTTGGCCAAAACATTTTTCACTAATATCAGTGTTACTTCAGCCCTTTAAGTAAGCAGAGACCCACTGTGGTATCAACAGTCTTTGGTCTTGACTTGCAGGATACAAGTGGGAGGGGAAAATAAAAAGGAAAGGAAAAAGGAGAACTTTTTAATGCCTTACCTGTATTTAGAATCTGTTCTAGTGACAACACCTCCCCTGCCCCCACCTGTCCTCACAAAACCTGTAAAAAACCTAAAGCAGGTCCACTCTGAACTTTAGGGAGGAAGGCCAGGCAATGTGGATGAAGAGTATGGTAATTTACCTAAGATTATTAGAATTTTTGGTTTGTCGGCTTGAATGTGTGTACCTGTTACCATGGTTCTATCCCAGCCTTTCTTTAAGTGCCTTGTTTTTGCACTTCTTGGATTCCTTTTTATAATGCAGTGCTAATCCCTTTGCTGGGTCAGCATCGAGGGCAAACAATTGATTTTAGAAGTGCTGTGCCAGTTGGTGTAATCCCAGAAGCAAGGTGGCGTGTGTGACATTGCATGCTGAGTTGACATCTTAGCCGACACACATCCTTTGCTCTTTCGTTACGTGCTTGTAACAAGTTGCATGTTTTATGTGCATATTCTTGGCTAGGCTGGCACAGGTAAGTGCCACCTAGCCCTTCCTGTTCCCAGCCTACATTTGCTGTTTGAGTGGCTGTGGATTTTTCTAGCAGATGACAGTCTTTGTTTTGAAATTTTAAAAATTCATAAATGACTTTGTTCATTCTTATCCACCAAACTCCTAGAATTGTGCTTGGCAAATACTAAGCACTCAAATTTTTTGAATGATTATTATTTTGTTTAGACTATAATTAGGGCCCGGAAGATATGATTGAAACTAGGTATTAGCTTAAGGAGATGAGGTTGACTAGGCACTAGTGTCCTAAGCTAAGGCTGAAGAAGAGTTCAGGAGTCGTGTTGACCCTTTAGTTGGCAGTAAGGCAAGTGAGGAACAGAAAACGAACTTCTGTGGTGGTCCAGGGCCAATAGATTGGGTTCTAGGAAGGCAGCGGTGGGCAGCAGTGGAAGTTTGAAGGACCTGCAGACTGATTAGTTTCTGGCCAAAATTTAGGAGCCATTGTTGACAGGTATGGAACGAAACATCCTGGACCCTAAGACCTAAACAAGTGATCCTTATCTAGGATTGGCACCAAGGCATTGTGTGGAGCTGGACGGTTCCTAACACCTGTTATTTTATAAAATAAATATTAGGAAACCCCTATTCATTTTGAATGTGTTAATGAAAGTGAACTGCTAATCACAGTTAGCACTTGTATCTTTTCTACTAAATGTGTGAAATGTGCCTTTTAGGGAAATATAATACACATTTTCATTCTTGTTTACCTTCTTCATACGTAGCTGGTTTAGAATCAACTTTCCAAAACAACCCTACCTATCTTCTAGGCTGTTGACAGTGATTGACAGTGAACAACACTAAAAGAAGGAGAAGCCAGGACAGGACATTGTATTTCTTCACTGAATTCCTTTCCCCTTATTAGTCATTGCTGACTCTCCTGTATTCATTTTTCACTGATCATCATTCACCATTTCCATCTCACTGAGTCCAAGTGTCTCTCCATACATGTTTGTCCCTTATTACCCTCTACTAATGGAAGGCTACAAAAGCTAATTTGTTAGAGAAGTGAATGAAATATAATGTCATCTATAAATATTAGCTCTCTTCTTCACTCCCTGTTAATAAAAGCAGTATATCATTTCAGAGAGAAGAAAAGACCAGGACCTATCCATTTGTAATCATACTGTGCACACATTCAATTAGCCAGAGGGGTAAAGTGCATATTAGTAGGCAGCCTGGGAGTTTGCTGGAGCAATTAATCGGCTTTGTCATCTATAAGTAATAGTTTAAATAACTTTCTCTTGCTCCCTTGACTGAAACAGCCAATCAGATTCAAGCAATAGATAGCATCCTTAACCTTCCCAAAAATAGACTTAACACTACAATGTTTGTCTTTTCTTATTAAAAGCTCTATGCTATGTACTAGTTTACCAGGTATCTATGGGGTTTTTTGTTTGTTTGTTTGTTTGTTTGTTTTGAGACAGAGTCTTGCTCTGTCGCCCAGGTTGGAGTGCAGTGATGCAATCTTGGCCCACTGCAACCTCTGCCTCCTGGGTTCAGGCGATTCTCCTGCCTCACCCTCCTGCATAGCTGGGACTACAGGTGCGCACCACCACACCTGGCTAATTTTTTTGTATTTTTAGGAGAGACAGGGTTTTGCCATGTTGGCCAGGCTGGTCTCAAACTCCTGACCTCAAGTGATCCTCCCACCTCGGCCTCCCAAAGTGCTCAGTTTACAGGCATGAGCCACCATGCCCGGCCTCTGTGAGTTTTTTAATGGGGAGAGCAAGGGGAGGAAATTTTGGTAATAACCAAGGATCCGTGTCCTGTGTTCCATTTTTTAAAAAGTAGTACATTATTGTGTGGTATTAAATTGTTTTTTATTTTTTTTAGGATTTGACTATAAGGAAAGAAATTCCAGTATGCAACATGATAGCAGAAATAAACAAGCTGTCAGATTTTGGAAATGAATATGAATTTCATTTTCTTTGGTCCTAATATCACATAATGATTGTTTTTATACAAAAATACCATATGGCTAATGTGGACCCAATCTCAACATTTGTTTGCTGCCTTACACACACATTTTTATTTATATTTCTTTTTTTATATATGGATCTTCAAGTGGGATGCCAAGAGAGACGATATTTTTGAGGAAGTCAGTGCACAGTCAAAGAGGATATGAACCCAGTCTAGGTGTTACATGGTGCCCTAATATTCCGCTTGCATAAGAAGAAACCTTTTGTTTGTGGCCTTAGTTGTCACCAGGAGACCATTGTTAATTTTGCTTAAAAGCTCTTCTGTTGTGTTTAGGTGGCTTTTTAATATAAAGGAAAGAAAAAAATGAAGAACAAGTTTGGCCAAACTCTTAACATTTGGCTCTATCAGGAGTCTCATCTCCGCTTCGTAGCCTCAACTAATCCTCCACAGCCTCTTGCCAGAGATTTCTTAAGTCTTAAGACTTATAAAGACGCTGGCAAGAAACTGCGGTGCATCAGCAGGAACAGGTTGCAAAATGAAGACAAAGCCTCTGGCAAGACACAGGAGGATTAATAGAGGCCAGGCCATGAAATAGAGATGAAGCCCCGAATGGTGAAAGATCTCTGAAGTCACAGTACAGATACAGAACCGGTGTTCTGTCATTTGGGAAATCATATGGGATGAGCCACGGGGCCCAGTTGGCCAGGGGAACAATTGGGAATTGCAGGTCAGGAGCATCCTTTGCCAGAGGAAGTTAAAAGCTTTTAGAACTGGGAGTGCTCAGAGATCCCAGAACAATCTCTAGATGTAATTCACACCTCTACTCTGATAAGGAGTGTGAGACCAGATGGAAAACCACTACTGGGTCAGAGAGTGAAAATAAATCCTAGAGAAGATGCCAGAAAGATTTGGCTAAGCACTACTTAATGGAATAAAATTCGTGACCGGGGTACTGACTGTGTTCCTAATGTTGGATTATTTTAGCCTTGCTCTATTAGTAGTCCTCAGCTTTGAACCCAGCCTCTCTCCCTTCCTGTCTCTTCCCACATCCCATTGAGTCCCCCCTTCCCTGGAGCTTCCCCCTCCTGCTTCCCTCCCATGCCCCTGCCCCTTCCCTGTCTTCTCTCTCTTCCTCCCATTTAAAATGTTACTTTTTCTCAATAGCTTTATCAAGGACTACTTTCCTATAATGTTGAGTAGGAAGTTCCCCAAAGAATAGAAAAATCTGCTTTAATTCCAACATCTAGTTGCTTCAGAAACAGCTGGGTAAATTGGACTTACCCAAGTTGGACTTAGTAATGTTGTTCTAGTTTATGCGATGGGAACATTTTAGTTGGGGCTTTTGTTCATTCATCACATGCAGCTGGGGGAGGAAATGGCATTATTTAACTTGTCCATAGTGTATCTTTAAATATGAAAAAGAAATGGAACCTATGAATACAAATAATCAGGACTCTCATCCTTTCTTTAGACTTAAAAAGAGAGAAAACAAAGACTTAAATAAACATCTTCAACAGGTAGTACAATGTAAAAAGCCTGTAAAACATTGCCACAAGGATATATGCCTTGAGTGCTTCAATCACGGGGAATATTCCTCCCATGTTTTACTGCAGTTAATTATGGCAGAGCACCAGCATGGATTTTGTACCTTAACCTCACCTGTGTCCTCCACCCCCCCACAGAAAGAATGCTTTCCTATTGATGAATCATTATGGGGGCACATCCTCTCTTGTGTGTAGGGTAAGAATGTGCCAAAATTAAGACGTACTGGAATTAAGAAAGCCAAAATGAAGTGTCACGTTGAGCTAAGGTGACAGGTTGTACCTTGACCTTTATAATGAATTCACTTAATTTACTTCTTTTAGTCCTCTCCGAATATGTTCGGCCTTGTATTTTAGGATCTGGGTTTCTCATTTCAAAGCATTTATCAATTAATTCTGTAAGAAAAGGACTCACTTTACTGCTGAGAAACAGTTGCGATCTTCTCTAGTAGTTAGAAAACTCAATTCAGATCACCATCATCCCACAGCCTATTTTATTCCATTTAGCTACATATGTCAATCATGAATTTTTGGAAGACCCTCATGGATGAGTACCAAATAATTCCTGCAAATGGTTTTCTACTTTCTTGTGTGAGGGTGGGTGTCTCTGGCACCTTGGGTTAGAGAGTTGAATTCATCATACTGGTTAGTTGATAGCACATTATCATCACCACCAGTCGGTGCATGGCTTTGCTTTTGTTTTCATCTTTTTACTTTTTCATCTTCCATCTCCACTCTTCCCATTCCCATTAACAATGTTCTTATTTATTTATATGCCCTTAAAAATATAGTAGGTTGTTTTGTGGCCTTTACATAAGAGACGTTTTTCATTTACATAGGTGATATACTAAGGTTCTCATTCTGTTTCTTATATTCACTTGGCTTTATGCTTTTAAGAGCTTTCCTTTTACATTTAGGTTGTTGAACCTGATTGCCATGTGGGGTTCCATAGCAGGCATCCACCACACTCTTCTTTCCATTCCCATGGTAATAAGCAGCGCAGTTGTCTTAGCTTGCCAGGGTGAACATCCTTAGAGCACTGCCAGATTGCCCTTCCGGAAAGGCTGCGCCAGTTTAGAATCCCACCAGCAGCACTTGCCAATGCTTGTCCTCCTACATCCTTGCCAATACTTTGTATTACCCAAATTTATCATTTTTGCCAATCATTACGATATCTTGCTTTAATTTGTATTTCTCTGATTACTGGTAGGCTGATCATTGTTTATTTGCTTTTATCCATTTAAGCTTCCCCTTCTATTTTTTTAACCTATTTTTACATTTGTTTCTTATTTGTTGGAGTTACTTACATATTGTGATACTAATCTTTTATTTGAGTCTTTGTTATTATCTTTTCCCTATAAGTTACCAGTCTGTTCATTTTGTCTGTAATGTCCGTCTTTGAACAGAAATCCTTATTATTTATCCTACTTAAATTTTTGTACCTTTCTAGAGAAAAATGTAATTTTGTATTTGCATTAAGCTAGAGGCTGGCAGTAGATGGTATGAAAATGTGATGTTTAGGCCAAGACCTCAGAGAATTCTAGAACCGTTCTGATCTCTGAAACAAGCATTGTTGCAGAGTGAATTTTCTGCAAACCTTCGGGAGAAGTATAAGCACAGGGGACTCAGCAGTTACCCACAGTATGTGCCAGGGCTAGAGTCATTTGTGGGGACCCTCCTGGCTCTTTGGCCTATTTTTTTTTTTCAACATACTTAGGACAAGGTCATTTCAAATGCCCAGATAAGTGCAGAGAAATCAGTCATTAAATTCTAACTCAGCCTGAAGTTTCACTCGGTGGGAAATTTTTGAATATAAATGTCTTGTGTTACCATATAATAGTAGTGACTTATAGTTTTAGCCAACCTTTATTGAATGCTTACTATGTATCAGGTATGTTCTAAGAGATGTACATTTATTATCTCATTCAGTCTATGCATCAACCTTATCAGGTAGTTATGACAGAAGTAGTATTTTGAATTCACCAAATCCCATTTCATATTCCTCCATTCTGGACACATAGAAAACAATACCTCGCAGCCCCCCGTATGGGCCTGGACCTTGCATGTTAACTAATTCTTGTCAGTGATATACGAGCAGAGTTGACAGTGTCACTTTCAGTAAAAAAGTTTTTTTTTAACTTTGGTTAAAAAAAAAAAACAACCTTCTTATTAAAATCAGATTCTGCTGTCATTCTTTTCTATTTTTTTTTGGCCAACCTGGATCACTGGGTCATTGAAAACAACTGTCCTAGATGGTCATTCATGCACGTAGCTGACTTTCCATGATTTATTGTTGTAATAAGACACTCTCCCATTGATATAGGGAAAGAGGGGCATTTGTTACTGCAGCTTTGCCTAACCTAGCCTAACTAATAAAGTAAGTAAGTATGGCCAGGCAGGGTGGCTCACGCCTGTAATCCCAGCACTTTGGGAGGCTGAGGTGGGTGGATCATGAGGTAAAGAGATCAAGACCATCCTGGCCAACATGGTAAAACCCCGTCTCTACTAAAAATACAAAAAAAATTAGCTGGGCATGATGGCACGTGCCTGTGGTCCTAGCTACTCGGGAGGCTGAGGCAGAAGGATCACTTGAACCCGAGAGGTAGAGGTCACAGTGAGCTGAGATTGTGCCACTGCGCTCCAGCCTGGCGACAGAGCAAGACTCCGTCTCAAAAATAAAAATAAAATAAAAAATAATTTAAGTACTATTATTACCCCTACTTTACAGATGAAGAAAGCACAGGGAGATTAACTTGCCCAAGTTCCTTACAATGTATGTCTGATACCAGAGCCCACCATTTGAGCTTCAGTGAAGCTCTTCCTATGAAATTAATATGGTCTTAAGTCTAAGCTCAATTAGGTCCCAAACCTTCTGTAGAGTATGGAGTGAAGCTAAGTAACTTTGCTTGTTTTAATTAAATAATCATTAGCAATCTATGATATTTATATATATCTCACTTACAGCAATAATGGATGAGTAGAAATTTATTTCTCCTAAAGAGCAGTAGAATAATTTGGCTAGTTCTAGAGGAGTAAATGGCTTTTATCAATACTTCAGCTTTTAAAATATTAAAAATTCTGTTGCTGGCTTGCTTTTCAAATTAGTTTGTTCAAATTATTCCATTTGTTTAAATTTTTCCGTGGAAAAATCAAGTAGGAATTAGGAAGGCTTTCGTGTAGGACTGACGTTGAAAGAAGGATAAAATCTTCAAGGCTGGAGGGGTTTCCAGGTAAAGGGGCCTACAATGAGCAAATGCATTTATTTTCCAGTATTTGTTGAGCACCCACTATATACCAATCACTTTTCTGGGTGCTTGGAATATGTATTTGAACAATATAGACACGAATCTATGTTTTCATGGTACCTATATTCTAGCAAAGGTAGGAAAGGATAGGACAGTTATTTGCAAAGCTGCCAAGTTGCCACAGAGGAAATAAAGCTCAAAGATAAATAGGTACCCTTGGGAACCTGAATGCCAGCCTGAGGAATTTGTGTGTAATTCAGCAAGAAATAGAGAGCCAGGAGACTTCTGCAAAGGGGTGAGGTACCATGATCCGAGCTGTGGCCTAAGACTCTCCATTAGACAAACAGAATTCGGAATATTAGAGTGATCAGGAATGGAGAATTAAATATCGACTACAATTGTCCATACCTTTTCTGAGGCTTAGTTTTTCTTCCGGGTTCTTGATGGTGGTGATGATGTTACTGACTGATGAGGTGGTGAGCGGAGGCTGAAACCCCACCAGTGCTCCACTCACCCAGCTGCTCTTCTGGCCAAGTCTTGTGTCTTTCCTTCGGCACATTCCTCTATCCAGAGGAAGGGGCATCTGTTTGTCGCCTATCTTCCAGGGGTGACATCTTTTATAAATTGCACAAAGATTCTTTATATGCCTGCAGCAGCCTTGATTAAATGGCAGCACTAGGATTTGACCCCAGTCCTACCTAACTACGAACGCTGTGTGATTTTGCCAGTGTTTACTACTCTTACAACATTATTTGCCACTACTCTTACAAGTCCTTGCCAGTGTTTAGTACCATTACAACAACTACTCCCCCTACTATTGCTGCTGCTATTATGAAGGAGGAGAGGGAAAGAATAGCATCTGACATTCTTTGAGTGCTGGCTGTGTGCCAAGCACAGTATTCAGTTATTTACATGCATTATTTCATTTAATCATCACAGTCTCCCTGTGAGGTAGGTACTGTTACTATGTTGCCAAGTGACAGAATAGGAATTGAAGCCAGTCGTTCAGACTCCAAGTCTGAGGACTTAACCACTACACTAGTATCTTCCCTGAATACTTAAGGATGAAATATCTTAGAAAACAAAACTGCTGCTCTATTAGAAGTCACATAAAACTACAAAAATTATTTAAAGCAACAAACTTGAGGCCAGGTGCAGTGGCTCACACCTGTAATCCCAGCACTTTGGGAGGCCAAGGTGGGAGAATTGCTTGAGCTCAGGAGTTCAAGACCAGCCTGGGCAACATAGCAAGACCTCGTCTCTAGTTTAAAAAAAAAAAAAAAATCCTAGGATGATGCTTCTGGGAAAAACAGCAGCAGCAACAACAACAACAACATTAGCTAGGAGTGATGGCGTGCACCTATAGTCCCAGCTACTCGGGAGGCTGAGGTGGGAAAATCACCTGAGCCCAGGGATTCTTGATTGCACCACTGCACACCAGCCTGGATGACAGCAAGACCCTGTCTCAAAAAATAAATAAAAATAAAGCATCCAACTTGAGCAAGGAATAGCATCAATCCAGTACCTTGTCATAGCAGGTGCTCAAAAAATATTTAACTTGATTTTCACAGATAAACATTTTGAACATTGGTACTTGAGGGGAAAAAAAATAAGGCTAAATCAGAGAATATGATTAAAATAAATATTTTTGTGAACATTTTGATGGTTATTTCTGGATACCTCCAAAGGATTTTAAGTTTGATTGGATAGCCTGTTAATCAGATCTAATCTCACTTCTTTTTTTAAAATACAGGTATGTCTAGTTCACTGTTAATTACTGGTGTGCTTCTCTGTAACTTAGGACCCTCAATTTTTTTGTTGTTTTTATTTTTGTTTCATTTTGTTTCTGTCCTTCACAAATAGAAAAAAGAGAGAGAATACATACATACAAAGAGAGAATACATATTTCCTAAGCATTTCATCAAAAATTGTGAGGGAGGAGGGTGTTAAAGGCTGTGTGTGTGTGTGTGTGTGTGTGTGTGTGTGTGTGTACACATGCGCACACACTTTTGAGAATGGGGTTGATCACCTGCAGCAGATTTCACTGAGCAGTGTTAGGAAGATACTTTCAGGCAGGTCGTTAGCTCCTGGTACTGCTTTCTAGGGTTAATGCAGGTGCAGGACAGCCTGGCTGCAGTCAGAGTGACCTGGAGTGGGACAGAGGGATCCCAGCTCAAGATGTTGTGTCTGTATCAGGCTGTTTATATTTATGAAATGTTTCCTAACTGGATATTGCTATAAAAGAAAAAAGAAAGCTAGATTATTGAGTTTAATTTGTAAGCTCTGTAGGACAGTGGTTTTGAGACCTTTAAATTTTGTATTGTTGTTTATTTGCAGAAAGATTCTAACCCTAGTTTGCACAACTTAGAATCAGAACCCAGCCTGATGGGACTGCCTGCTGACCCAGTCTTTCCCACCTCCAGAAGGGGTGCCCTGAGGCACTGCCTCTAGGCAAATTCTTCCTTTATTGTACCTTTCCTACAATTTGTTTTTTTCCTTTCTTCCTTCCCTCCTTTTCTCCTTCATTTCCCCTTTCCCTCCCTCCCTCCCTTCCTCTTTCTTTCTTTCCTTTCTTTTCTTTCCTTTCTCTTGCACATCTGCATGAGTGCTCGCCCTTTTCTCATATTTTTCAGATAATCATGTAAGTTCCTGAACAGTTCTAGCTTGCTAACAGTTGTGGCCTCTGAGTACATACATAGGATTTCACAAATCTTCCTAGGTGAGCAGGGGCTCTGGAGTTGCCAGGTGGGGAGATGAAATGGTAACCTATGACATGTATCTAAATGCCCCAGTCCCTGGTGAACAATTGTAGGATTCACCCGTCTTTCTTCTTTGTTCCTTGGTGCCCTTTCTCCTTGGAAATTGGAAGCATGGGCAAGTTGTTCTAGTCCCAACTCTGCCTTCAGGCTTGGTGTTCTCAGGCAAGTCTGAATGTGGCTGGGCCTCAGTTGCCTGAAATGTACAGTGAGGCTAAATTAGGTCTGAGGGTCCCTAGCAAATTATTTGCAACAATACAACTTTTGATATTCATGGCCAGCTCACTTATTCACAGTTGCTGTCATTCCTCATTTCCACAGCTTAGAGACCCTTTACTAAAGGGTCTAAAGGTGGGCAAGCTAGGAGTATGTGTCCATAGCGGAAGTCAACATCTCTCTCAGTCCCCTGATTCTTCCTTAGAGTGGGGTGGAGTGGGAATGATGATTATTTGGTTTACCTCTGAGGTCATGTTTTCTATAGTAGCTGCACTGGGTGGAGAAGGTTATGATTACCTATTAGCAATCTGCTAGGATTGTCATCTTACAAATTGGAGGTGGGAACTTTGACGATAATAGAGACTTTGGACTTTAGCCTGATCTTCAGATTCCCTGTGGAAGGTGTGGCCTGAGGAAAAAGGGTTACCTTGATAAGGAACAGTAATAATTTTTATATTTCTGGACACTGAATTATAAGCATTGCCAACTGAGAGGGAGGAGGGGAGGCCTGCCAGATCAGTAGACTGTGACGTATATGCTCTAAGTGTATGGTTTTGTTGTCATGTTACTCATCCATTCAACATGCATTCACTGGACACCCATGTGTCAGACACTCGTCCAGCCATTGAGAGTTCTGTATTCCTCAGGGCTGAAGACTGTATGTTTTTTCTTAGATATTTGGCCTGCAGTTAGTTTCCTGCCATTAGGAGACAGTGATTTTGTTGATCAAGCTATAGAATTCAATCCTAGGGATTGAGATATAGACATGTTTTACCTGGGAGGGAGATTTTCCTTTTTGGAAATAAAATTATTTAGTAAAATAATCTTAAACTCTAAGGTTAGATATTAATATTTTAAATAATTAATATAGAGAGAAATCTAAAAGAAAGCAAAGGTCTAGATATAATTAGGTACCTTACTCACATACTCTTAACTGTTCTAATTGTTAACCTGTGATTCCATTCCCATTGTGTGTAAAAGAGGAACTCTCCATTCTTTTTGCACTTCCTTCCTTGAATGTAGAAGTCCTTAGGCTTATATATGGCTCACTGGCACTGTGGCTTCCCTTAAATCTTTTCATCCTTTCAATACTTGGCCTCTTGAAAAAGAACAGCCTGCAAGGGAAGGCCTGTCCTCCCTGGTTCTCCTCCCTGCTTTCCTGCCTTTTATTAATTTATAAGGTATTCAGTACCTATTATGTGCCTGGGATGGAGCCTGGTCCTATAACTTGGAGAATAAATAGGAAAGACACGTTTGTGCCGTGAGCTGCTCACAATCTAGGGAGGGAAAACAACATATGAAGTGCTAAATTATGCTACACTACTGCAAGTTTTGAATGTGGTGTACCAGAAGAATAGAAGAGAGTGCTTGTAACTTCCTGAAAGGCTAGGGTGTAGAGTTTTCATCGAGGTATGGTGATGGTTGAGCTAAGTATTAAAGAAGGCCTTAGAGTCTTTCATTTGGCAAAGGTGGTACCAGGAGATAGTATTTCACCTTCACAACTCAAGAGAAAGATGCCAAAAGCATGTGCTCCAGGGATTTTGGTTTTCAATGAAAAAAGAATCATTTTCTGTTTTTCCCCTTCAGAGAGAAAGCATTATAAAATGCAGGAGAAAGGAAAAGCGAGGGCAAACAAGCCTCCCTCATCCAAATAGTGCCAATGGAAGGTCCTGGATTAGGTGTTCCATGAAACTGAAGTACAGTAGCAAAGCTGTCATGAAATACTTTTGGCCAGTCCCTTAAAAATGAATCTCCAAAAGAATAGTGGGTAAGAGTGCTTCCTCAGGGCAGATTTCTTGAAATGATTATATTTCTTCTAAACAAAACATTTTAAACATTTGAGGAGAACACTTAACAGAAATTTTGGAACAGAAAAATAAAGTTATTTCATCCCAGTGTTAACTCTTAATTCCTTATGCAAGTAAAGGCCAGTGGTAAAGACAATTCAAATATTTGAAATCTGATTTCAGAATGTAATCTATATGATTTGGTTCTTTAAGTGTATCATATACTTTTCTTGGATCATTAAAATGAGTTTGTATTCCCTGAGCAAATAGTTGCCAAAAACAGAGGGGACACAGAATTTCATCTGTCATCCTGATTTCGCATTGGTTCCCAAAAAAGAGAGCTGTCAGTTAGGTTTTGAAAACTCTAGACTCCAAGAGATCAACTGCTGTCTTCATGTTGAGTTAGTTGGGACTTAAAAATAATTTTTTGATTGAGAGTTTTCAAGCATACATAGAACAAGAGAACATAGTATAATGGACCGCAGATAGTCATTCTTAGTATTTAATAACATTTGGTCATACTTATCCATGTATAGTTCCTTCCTTATTATCTTTTTTTTTTTTTTTTTTGAGAAAGAGTTTCGCTCTTGTTGCCCAGGCTGGAGTACAGTGGCGTGATCTCGGCGCACTGCAACTTCCACCTCCTGGGTTCAAGCAATTCTCCTGCCTCAGCCTCCCGAGTAGCTGGGATTACAGGCATCTGCCACCACGCCCAGCTAATTTTTTGTATTTTTAGTAGAGACAGGGTTTCACCATGTTCACCAGGCTGGTCTTGAACTCCTGACCTCAGGTGATCCACTCATCTTGGCCTCCCAAAGTGCTGGGATTACAGGCATGAGCCATTGTGCCCGGACTCTGCCTTCTTTTCTTTCTTCCTTTCTTTTTCTTTGGAAGGGGTCCTATAATATTATATTAAATCCAATCACAGACATTGTCATTTCACTTAAAAGATTCCCATATGTCTTAAAAAAATATAGAAAAATTTTGTATCACAATACTGATATTATATATAACAAAATTACCAGTAATTCTTTACTGCCATTTAACTCAGTCTACATTTAGATTTCCTCATTTGTCTCAAGTGTCTTTTTATAGTGGTTGGTTTGTTCAAATCAGGATTCAAATAGTCTATAGCATTAGATTTTTTTTTCCCATAAGTCTCTTAATCTAGAACAGTCCTCACCCTCTTGCTGTTTTTCTTCCCTGTAAAATTGACTTGTTGACAAAACCAAATCAGTTGTCCAGCAGAATGTCCTATATTCTAGAAGTTCCTGCCTACTTTCTCATGGTGGTATTTAACTTATTCTATCCTCTGTATTTCCTGTTAGTTGGAATAGCTTGAGATATTTGCAAATTATTTTGGCCATTTTTTAAGGAAATATAAACATTTTACAAATTTCATTTCAGCCATTCATTTATTCAGCATTTGAGTGCCTCCTATGCACCAGGCACTGTTCTAGGTTCTAGGTTCATTGGGCTATGCTTTGTTTTCCTAGCAATTCTTTTGTTCTAGAGGAACTGCACACTTGTTTTTTAATTTAGGTTTTTTCATCCATAATACATTCTCATGGTTCAAACCTTAGTAATTATAAAAGAGATGTAGTGAAGTCTCTCTTTTACCCTCTCCCTCATCAGACCAAGTCCCAGATAATTACATTTTAAGTTTCTTATATCCTTTGGAATTTTTTTCCTACATTTATCAGATAATATGAGCGTGTATTCTAAAAATATAATATTTCTAGTTTATCTTTAGCATCAACATTAAAAGTAGTTTTTTAGGCCAGAGTCACTTGATAAGTATATATTCTTTTTATCCTTGAAACTAATCCTTCCTTATCTCCTGCTCCCGACCCCCTCATTTTTGGGCAAATGATAGTAGTTCAATTTTTAATGTAAAATAGTAGAGATTTTTATTCTAGAAAACATTGTCCAGTATCAGGTGACACTTAACAATGTTATTGACAATGCTGTTAAAATGAGAAGTATTAGAACTGTGTTCCTGAAATCATAAAATCTTACTGAGGGTAATTCTTAGATCTTTTAATTTGAGCTACAGCCCAAGAGGCTTACCAAAAGGTGCTAGGCAATTATTAATCTTTTATGGCTGGGTACAGTGGCTCACACCTGTAATCCCAGCACTTTGGGAGGCCAAGGTGGGTGGATCATTTGAGCCCAGCCAGGAGTTTGAGACCAGCCTGGGCAACATAGTGAGACCCTGTCTCTACAAACAAAAAATACAAATATTAGCTGGGTGTGGTGGCACGCACCTGTGGTCCCAGCTATTCAGGACGCTGAGGTATGAGGATCACTTGAGCCCAGGACATGGAGGTTGCTGTGAGCCCAGATCATGCTACTGGACTCCACCTGGGTGACAGAACGAGACCCTGTCTCAAAAAAAAAAAAAATTAAAAAATTATTAAGCTTTTATATGGAGATGTCTATTTGGGGATCTGGTAAGAAACTGAACACTAAAGAAGCTACCAAGAACTCAGTGGATACTATATAGGAGCTTTCTTGATCTACAGCGGTAGTTTGCATAAGAAATAGAGGCGTTTGCCTACCTTTTTGAGACATACATGCAAATTGTTAGAAGTAATGGAATTTCAGTAACTTAATATATGAGTAACATAGAGCATTTAGTGAGACCAAGGGTGGGAATGCTGTATTATATTGAGAAAAGGGGGAGTATATAATATTAATAAGGAATATAATTAATTTCTTGCCAGATCAGACCTAATTAACTTCTACTAATTATTTAAATTTTGCTTTACTTTATTAAAATATGCTTATATCCCATTTCTTTTTAAAAAATTGAACTTAAGATGTATATTATAGGATTAAAAAATAGTAATAGATATGGAACATCAGAATTAAAATACATTTTTGGTTTATTTATATGTCTAATGTAAGCACTCTAAGTTTTTATTATTGTTGTTTCTTTCTTCCTTTACTGGAACTCATGCTTGGTTCTATCATTGATTGCTTGGATATAAAAAGCCACTTTTTTTATCTGTAAAAGGAAACCAGGAGATGAAATTTACTTGGTTTTCTATGTTTTTTAAAAGTACTCTAGAAATGGAGAAGATCCATTACTAGAACTTTAACTTGCTTTAAAAAAAAAAAAAACAGCACTTTTTATTTTGAAATAAAGGCAGGAAGTTAGCAGAAATGGTGCAGAGTCTTATGCATCCTTCATCTGGCTCCCTCATTGGTGATATTTTATATGGCTGCCGTGCAATAATCAGAATCAGGAAATTGACATTGGCATGTTACTGCTAACTAGACTAGACCTTAGTCAGTTTTCATCATCTTTTTAACCTGCATTCACATGTGTGTATGTATATGTGTGTGTGTGTGTAGCTTAGTGCAATTTAATCTGATATATAGATTCATGTAAACACCACCACAATCATGATACAGAACTGTTCTATCACCACAAAAGAAGTCTCTTGTGCTGCCTCTTTGTATTTGCATTATATTTAGGTATTTCTTTTTATTTTTTGAGAGCAAATAAAAATGATATTACATTTTTAATTTTGATTTCCATGTGTTCATTGCTGGTATATAGTAATACGATTAACTTTTGTGTGTTGATTTTGTGTCCAACAATCTTGTTGACCTTGTGTTCATGAGAATAGTTCTGTGAGTGTTTTTATAGATTCCTTGGAATTTTCTTTGTAGACAATCATGTCTTACACAAATAAGGGCCGTTTTATTTTTTCCTTTCTGATATACGTATGCCTTTTTTCTTGCTTCATTGCATTGGCTAGGACTTCCAATACCATTTTGAATAAGAGTGGTGACAGCAGACAATTCTTGCCTTGTTCCCAATCCTAGGTGGGGAAACATTTAGTTTTTGTCATTAAGTATTATGTTTGCTGTAAGATTTTTGTTGATGTTCTTTATCAGCTTGGGTAAGTTCCTCTCTATTCCTAGTTTGCTGAAGTTTTTTTTTTTTAATCACAAATTGTGTTGGATTTTGTGAAATGCTTCTTCTGATAATGCTTATGCAATTTGGCAAGTGAAATTTTTCCTGTGACTGTTGCCCTCCCCAAGCACTCCTTGCAGGCCCCATATTGCCATGCTTAAATATGATAAAAGGAGAAAGATTCCAGAGAAAGCAATTTGGGATATGAATTCATATTATTGTTAATTCTACATCAATGAATGTCAAGCAGAATTTATTATATACTGCTAACTAGACTAGACCTTAGTCAGTTTTCACCATCTTTTTCACTGCATTTACTTCTGCGTGTGTGTTTGTGTGTAGCTTTGTACAATTTAATCCAATATATAGATTCATGTAAGGTTCTGGATTTTGTAGTTTTTCTCCTTTCATAGTAATATTTATTGAGGTAGGTAGAGAGCAAGGGATTAGGAGTGTGCACTTTGGAACCAGACTTTGTTCTAATGTGGCCTTTATCATTTACTAGTTATGTGGGACCTTAAGCAAACTCTTTAACTTGTCTAAGCCTCAGTTTCCTCAACTTTAAAATAGGGCTAAGAACCATCTAATGTTGTCAAGATTAAATGAGATAATGTATGTAAGAGGCTTCATACTTATGGGCATTTAATATGTGTTAGCTGTTGTTGATGCAGCACTGATATGTTTAACAATTTATTAAACTCTCTTACATTCAAAGCATTCTGCTGGGCATTTGGGATGACACAGGGTTATATGAAGTACATAATTCATTTTAGAAGAATGTGCTATTTAATTTTCAAACATCTCGTTGTTTGAATAAATGAATGAAAACTTTTTTATCTTGCATCCATCCAAGACCATCAGTCTTTGGTTTTTACCCTTCCACTCCTTCCCTTTGTCATTTATTTTTCTCTTTCTCTCTCCTACCCATTTCCCTCTGTCTTTCTCACTCCCTGTTTTTTAGGTAATAATCAAGCTGTCATAGGTGAACCAGTTTCTGCCCCTCTGCTTCTTTCTGCTCTCATGGGAGTTCCTCCTTTCCTTTCTCCCTCATTTTACTTTTTCAGGTTTTCATAGTTACCCTGTAACTGTATTTTAAGCCAGCTTTCCCTTTAATGTTTTCCATTTCCTTGAGGAACCTCAGGGTAGCCCCACTCATGTTTTACTCTCCTGTTTCTGAGCCAAAAGGACCATGATCTTGACTAAGCTCTCTCAGAGACACCTGAATCCAAAGTAATGCTAATTTTGAAATCAATGACATTAACCTCTAAAAGCTTTGATGGTGCCCAGAATTATTTAATAGAATCTTCACTAAATTTTCCACTTCTCTCTTAATTTTCTTCTAATTAAACTTTATTTTCTTCAAATAACAGCATCATGATAAGTTAAAAGCTTTGACTTAATTTTTGTTTAATTGCCATATTTTAAAAGAACTTATTTCTATTATTTTCTCAGTGCAAATGTACAGTATTTCTGCCACTTTATGAATTTTTAAGAAGTTTTCATGTGTTGTCCTAAGAACCTAGCCTCCTTTACAATATTATTTCTAGAGGAAAATGCATTCTGTAAACTCCTAACAAATAAGCCAACTCTAGTGACTCCTTTTGTTGGTAAATTGGGTACTTCTTGTACTAAATGTTCCAACTGGTAGAGGATTGCAATTTTTGCAGGTATTTTAGAGAACCAAACCAGCCTGTAATTGCAGTATTTAGTTCATCTTCCTTGGAATGAAAACCATCTAATTAGAGTTGCCATGACAACTCTGTTTTCATGCAGTATAACAGACCTATTGATCTGAAGTTCAGGTTGATGGAGCATGTGTACGTGTTAGTGACAGAAGCCAACATCCAATATCGTACAGAGTGTTGGCTCCATTTCCCTCCTAGCTTATTTTCTACCTTATGCACTCACAAGTATTTATTAAGCACCTACTGTGTAGAGAGCTCAGAGAAGCCCATGAAATATTCACCATAAGAAGAAAGAAACAGTTATAAAACCCTATCGTGGATGTAGAATAAAACCCCAGTAACTTACCCTCTCCTTCATAATCTGGCCTTTTCCTGGACATTTGACTCTTTCTTCTCCCACCTCCCCGATACCCACCACTTTGGCCACACTGGCCCCTTTCTGTGTTTCAAACACTTCAGCCTCATTTCCACCTCAGGGCTTTTGTACTTCACATTCGCTCTGCCAGAAGGTCATTTCTCCACCTCTTTACATGTTTGGCTCCACTTTATCATTTGAGTCTCAGTTTAAATTTATTTCCACAGAGAGGCTTTCCCCGATTGCCCTAAAGTTGCCACCTGCCGTCTGCCCTCATCCATTGTCATGCTCTTTGACATTATGATATTTCTGTTTCTTTCTTATATTATTATTGCATTGTCTCTTATTAGCATATACTTTTCTATGAGAGTAGGATATGGCAGTGTCTTGTTTACTGTCATATCTGTTAATATTTGTTGAATGAATGAGTCATAGAGTGATTGAATATCATAATGGTCAAGAAAAGTTTCATAAATTGGCACTGATTTAAGTGCTTTGGAAGACAGTGGATATGGCTGGGCAGAAATAATGCTCAGAGGCATTTTATGTGTGAGGAACAATCTATACTCAAAAGTACTGTATGGGTCAGTTTGTTCAACAAGAGCATTTCTGAGCATCCAGTTGAACTGTAAGGAAGGGACCACTTGGAGAGTGATTCTTTAATTTTCACAGTAGCCCTGCGAACCTAATTATTATCCCCATTTCATAGATAAGCAAACTGAGGCTTAGGGATGTTTTAAACAACTTGCCCCAGGGGCAGTATACTAAGTGATGAAACTGAATTTCAACTCTACATTGCCAGTCCAATTTCAGAGCAAGGGTGCTTAACCACCTCATTTTTCTGGTTCATTCACACTTCAGCTTAATTTTTTTAAAGTTTTTATGTCATATCATGCCATATATCTCCATGCTTTTACTTGGGATGCTGACTTTCCTACTAGAAGTAAATTGCTTGATGTTCAGTCTATAGGTATTTATTGCTTGCCTACTGTGTGCAAGGCATTATCACATATTAACAGCATTAATTGAAAAAAATCACCTAGCCAGTTACAGTGTTCGAGAAAACTAAACTCATTGAACTCATATTTTCTTTCTTAAAATTCTCTGTATCATATAACAGTGGATCTAATATAAACATAAAAATTTAAAGGGTAGTTTACAGGGATTTTTGTGTAACTTTTTATGTTGATATTTAAACTTAAAAGAGAAAAAGTTGCAAGAATAGAACAAGGAACTGTCTTATTCCTTTTACACAGATTCCCTAATTGTTTACATTTTGCCCCATTTGCCTTATGTATTTATTCTCTATGTACTTACATTTTTGTATCTGCTCATTTTTTTCCTAAACTATTTGAGAGTAAATTGGGGCCACATTGTACTTCACCCCTAAATGTTTCAGAATGTATTTCCTAAGAACATGGACATTCTCTTATATAACCACAGTGCAGTTATCAAATCAGGCAGTGTATCATTGACACAGTACTATTATCTAATCCACAGTCCATATTCTAATTGTGTCAGTTGTTTCACTAATAACCCTGTTAGCTATTTTTTACCCTGGACCAGGATCCAAGCCAGATCACACATTGTCTTTAGCTGTTATATCTCTTTATTTTTTAAATCCGGAACAGTTTCTTAATCTTTATCTTTCTTGACCTTGACATTTTTGAAGAGTACATATCAGTCATCTTGTTCCTTAATTTGGGTTCATTTGATGCTTCCTCATAATCGGATTTATATGTGTGACATGATGTGTCTGTCCTGAGTATAACATATCAAAAGTCACATGATGTCAGTTTGTCCCGGGATTGGTGATGTTGACTTTGATCACCTGGTTAAGTGGTGTCTCTGTGGTTTCTGCACTCTAATGTTACTAGTTTTCTCTTTAATAAGAACTCCGTGGAGTGATGTGTTGAGACTATGTAAATGTCTTCCTCAGACTTTCACCCACTAGTTTTGACAGCCATTGATGATTCTTCAGCTGCATCTTTCTTACTACGTTTATTAGTTGGCTTTCTACTGTAAAGAAGAGCTTTCCTCATTTATTTATTTATCCATTAACATATGTGTTTCAGAGGGGATTTATTGATTCTGTTTTATTCAATGGGACACACACCATTACTGTCATTATTTTGCTGCATAAACAAAGCCTCATTTCATCATGTTTCCATCAAAAAACAGTTGTATTTTGAATGCTATATTAGATTTCTACTGTTGCTGTAACAAATTACCACAAATTTAGCAGCTTAAACCCATGCCAATTGATTATCTTACACTTCTGTAGAACAGAAGTCCAGTGCAGAGCTCCTGCGGCTACAGTCAAGGTGCCAGTGGGCCGCATTCCTTTCTGGAGACTCTAGTGGAGAATCTGTTTCCTTACTCTTTCAGGTTGTTCAGAGAGTTCAGTCCCTTGCAGTCACAGAACTGAGATCTGGTCCTTTGCGGAGGTCAGTTGAGCTTCTAGAGGCTGCTGTCCTTATTTGGCTCATAGCCCCCTTCCTCCTTCAAGCCAGCAATGGCAAGTCCAGTCCCTCTCATGCTTCAAGTTTTTCCTGCCTCTTCTTCTGTCATCATATTTCTCTGACTCACTCCTCTGTTTTCCTCTTCTACTTTTAAGGACTCGTGTGTCTAGATGGATTGAGAGCCCAACCAGATAATTCATGATAATCTCCTCATGTCGGGGTCCTTAACCTTTATTACATCTCACCAAAGTCCCTTTAGCCATGTAGGGTAAAAAATTCATAGCTTCCAGAAATGAGGGTTTGGCAGCTTTGGGGAGCCATCATTCTGCCTACCACAAATGCCTACCTGTGTTCAAGGCTTGTGCTAGGAGCTTACTTCTTTCTGTTTAATCAGAAAAAAAAAAAACCGGGTAGAGGATTACAAGCAAAGAAGCTTCAGTGAGAAATTGCTTTATGTTTAGTTAAAAGAAATAGGCTTGTAATCAAGAGTGGGGGCTGAAGAGATGATGTTGTCGTAACAGAGCCTCAAAAATAGTGCTTGAAGGTTGCTTGAGCCGCTGCGGAGCCAAGCAAGCACGTAGGGTTTAATGCTCAAGTGTCCCTGCTGCAAAATGAAGCTGTGCTGCTGCTGGCTGCAGGGACTTTGGTGAGAAAAATCAGGGCCGGTGAGAAAAAATGATACTGGATGAGTTGTGGCTCAGTGCTGCTGTTTCCTGAATTTTGTCCCTCACTTGTCTCAGCACCTGGGCCTGTTTCTGACGACGTGCTTTCACTAGCTAGTCACTATTTCTTCTTCATTTTGTACCAAACAAGTTTGTGTGGTAAGATTGGATCTTTTGATGTTATACACACCAGCAAAACGAACTGATTGTCGAAGCCCAGCTGGTCTGTGGTGGGAGGCAGTGTGTAGCGCAGCAGCGGAATGTGTGGGTTCAGAAATCGGATGGCCTGGTTCAGTCCTGTGTCCGTCATTTACTGGATGAGTTCTTTTGAGTCAGTTACTTAACCTCCCAAGCCTTACTGCTATTTGTACAATATATCAACCTTACAGGGCTTTTGTAAGGGTTAAATAAAGATAAATAAAAGAAGCTCTTAATATAATGCCTGGCTCATGGAAAATGTTCATTATGTGTTAGCTGCTATTGATGTTCTTCTAAATAGTAGTAGATTTTAGATCAATAACATAGAGTTCCATAGTCTTTGGGAATTAAAAAAGCTCAACTTCACAATCAAACTGTGTTCTTATATACCTTAGTGCCTCTCTCTCTCTCTCTCCATCTCTATGTCTGTCTCTATCTCTGTCTCTCGTATTACAAAAGTAATATGTGTCAGTTATAGCTTTCCAATACCAACCAAAAAAAAAATAAATAAAACAAGGATACAACTGGGTGTGGTGGGTCACACCTGTAATCACAGTACTTTGGGAGGCCAAGGCAGGCAGTCTGCTTAATCCCAGGAGTTTGAGACCAGCCTGGGCAACATAGGAAGACCTTGCTTCAACAAAAAATACAAAAATTAGCCAGGTGTGATGCTTGTAGTCCCAGCTACTTAGGACGCTGAGGTAGGAGGATCACTTGAGCCCCAGAGGTCAAGGCTGCAGTGAGCTGTGATGGTGCCACTGCACTCTGGTCTGGGTGACAGAGGAAGACCCTGTCAAAAAAAAGAACAACTATACAAAATGCAACGTGATCATGTGTCTTACTGTAATACTCCCTTCCTCTGCAAGATGATCTCGTCGATTCCCAAGTGGGAAGTGAAGTAAAAAACTCCTCACTTGGATTTCCCTCAGTTAACCTAGGTGTCTCTCCTTTCACCACCGCTGCTTCTCTCTCTCTTTCCCTTTTTTCCTCTCTCTCTCTCTCTCTCTCCACTGAGACCCAAGGAAAACCTCTGGGACACCAGGCAGTCCCTTTTCCCTCTAAACTTCTCCCCTTTCTGCTTTTGTTTCTTTCCATTCCTGTCTGAGGGATGTGCTCATCCGGTGCCACATCCTTCTTCTTCCCTGTGCTGGCATTTCTCTGACTTGGGTGGTGCCACCCTCTTCCTTGGGACAGTGGGCCTCAAGTCTTAGCCTCAGTGAAAGTGCAGGGGGGAAACATGATTTACTGAGAAACACGAAGTACGTCGATTTAGTATGTTTGCAGTGTTGCCCTATTAAATCAGTTTGGGGTATTTATTTATTTAGTTGTTGTTGTTGTTGTTGCTTTAATTTAGCCACAAAAAAATGTATGACATATTACATACTATTCTGCAGCTTGCATTTTTCCTATCCAATATATCATGGCCATTTGTCTGAATGGAAATAATGAATGTATTTTTTAAGTGGCCCTCAGAACCTGAAGGCTGCTATCTTCCTGGTGGCTGTATGGTACTCCACTGGAAGACTTTGCTATAATGTGTTCAGCTCCCCTGTTGTTGATTGAAATTTGTCGTTTACATTTGTGATTTGGTTCTACTCATATGAACTTGTCATTTATTCTCTCCAGTGTTTGTCTTCAGTCCTTCGCCTGCCTAGGAGGCAGAAGTCACTCAGAATATGCCCAATCTCTGTTTCAAGTCTAGAGTTGGGTTGGTGTGTTTGTTGTTCAGGCAATGAGCATGCCTGCAGCTTAACAGTTTCAGAATGTGATGGGAGCGAACTTAAGGGCTCGCCTTGCTCCAGAGTGACCCTGATCCCAAGTTGGTTCCTAATGAAATGAGGAAACATCCAGAAAAGCAAGTTGTCCTGAGTTAGCCCCAGACTGTATTGAGAAGCAGTCTTGGTCTTGTTGGGAAAGGGAGGTGCTGATGTGAGCCTGGGGCCCCATCGAATGGCCGGAAGCTCTGTGGTGGACCTTACATATTCTCATGCTCAGCACTTGCCGGATGGCCCAGAAGTTGTGAACCCTTCCCTGCCCTCTCCTCTAAGACTCTAAATGCCTACACAGGGTTCTGTGGAAGTGTTATTTTTGGAGAGTACTAGGAATCCTGAGAGTTAAGAGTGTCTTGAACTGAATCCTTACACCAAGAGGCCTAGATTGATGGAGAGCCCAACCAGAGAATTCAAGATAATCTCCTCATGTCGGGGTCCTTAACCTTTATCACATCTCACCGAAGTCCCATTTGCCATACAGGGTAAAACAGTCATAGCTTCCAGAAGTGAAGCTATGAATATTCAACATGTGATTCCACGTGAGTCTGAGCGAAACTACTTTCGGCCCATTGATGCCATGGATGCAGTATTGATACCTTCACATGCTGCAGGGGCAGGAGATAATAGCTATGGGCCAGCCATACAACTTTTCTCATAAGTCATGTTTGCATTCCCCTTTGTGCTATTAATACTGCTCTATTAGTACATGTTTAGTGTTTTGGTTTTGAAGCCTTAAGAAAACAGTAGCAATCCAAATTCTCAAGCAACCAAGAAAGTGGTTTCCAAAAAAGTTATTAGGCCAACCTCAATTATATTTGGCCAATTAAATTGGCATTGTCCTTGTCTACAGTTCCCAGAACCCCTTCTCTTCCTGACTAAATCTTTCCCTTTCTGTTGTGTCTTGTGTCACTGGTTTAAAGAAAGCAAACACATCCATCTTCTGGAGTTATCAGGCGCCTCAGTACAGGTTCCCCTGAGTTCTAGGCAGCCTGGACCATGAGGCACCCTGGCCCTGCTTCCCCGCAGGCCCGCCCCGCACTCTGTCTGGGGAAGTGTGGGCCCTTGTTACTATTGTGGCTGTTTTGAATCATCTATTTTAGAGAATTGGCTAAAAATAGTATTTAAATTAGTGGATATTTTTTAAAAGTAAAAGATGCAGGTAAATAAATTATGTTATTTAGAAATAGATTCCTAGTTTTGCACAGATGGATATTAACAGAACTGAACTCCCACTTCCCTGTTATTAAGTAAACAGGATATTTAGTAAGATCAAATGTTTTTGAAATGATAGCAATCTACTGAATATATCTTATTTTTGTTAAAACACTAACCACACTTATAGCCTCCTCAATTCCCTCTTCCCAGTCTGCTCCAGAAAATGGTTCCTCCTGCTTTCCAGCTGGTTTGGGGAGCACACTGCAGAGGGGGACAGTGCCCCCATCCAGTGTCTGTGTCCTGCTCCCCATGCTCACCTTTGTGGACATTTCCTGGGGCAGTAGCTGGCACCAGGGCCAGGCACCCGGGCTTGGCACCTGAGCTGCATCAGCAGAATGGGGAGGAGAGAGGGTCCTTACAAGCAAGCACCTGCCTACAGCCCCTTAAACTGGCTCTGCCCTTCTTCCCTTCATTGTTCACCGCCTTGACTTGATCGTACTCTCTGCTTATTGGGCAGCTGTGGTGGGAGTGAGAGTAGAGGTCTCCAGAGGGGACAGGAAGATCAATGGGCAACTGGAATGACACCAATAACTCGGCTCTTCAAGGTAGAACTGGGGCCAGGCTGAATGTTGCCAAAATTAGAAGAGCAGCAACTTTACCTATTAACTGAGGTCTTTAACTTCTGAGGATAGAAGATTCCTTCTGTATGGTTGAAACAGCATTTCTCAGGGGTGGGGCAGTCAGGTAGTCTGTCCTTTTAGTCCATATCAGAACCAGCTATGAGCTTTTTTCCTTCTTTTCAAATAACACATTTCTCCACCCTGAGATTCCAATATGCTATGCTAGAACAAGGGTGGGAGAAAAGGTATGTCTCCTCCCACCCCTTCCTCTCTCCCCAAGAGAAATCTCTGAAGGGAGGTCACACTACTTTGGTGTTCAGGGACAGATACACTTCTACTCACTGCTTGTATATGCAACAGATGATGTTGAAGAAGAGGCTATTTCCCACATTAACCAAAGTGGCACATGACTCCATGTGAACCAAACCAAAACAACAAAAATACTTACCTTCAAACAGTTTAATTTACCCAGTTAATCACAAAAGATTAAAAAATTGCTAAATCAGAAATTCTCTACCTGTAACTGATGTTTTCATTGATGATGAATATTAGAAACATTAACTATATCACATACTCCCTGAGGACATAGAGTGGTGACTTGCAAATGTTTTGGTTTGGAATTGTGGCACCTTATTGTTGTCCCTAAATGGTTTACATATTGCACACATTTTTAATTTAAAAACAAGAAACAAAACAACCACTTTAATTTCACGCAAGCCCTTTTGTGATAACTGCAGACATGAGTGTCATAGAGCCAGACCCCTGACTTGCTGCCAGTAAAATGAATGTGTCTTTAAAATTTTTGCAAACAAATTTAGTCTTAACTCTTCTCTGGCTTACTAAATTGTGGGATGCTTCGTACTTCAGTTTGCGGTACTTGAGCTTTAGAAGCGTGCCTGAATGGTGCTCAAGACACTGCTGTGGGCCTCTGCTGACAATGCAAGCTCTCACAAAACTGAACGTTTGGCCCATTTACCATAAAGAAGCAAACAGTCCCCATCCTAAGGACAGGCCTAGCCTAAGGTTAACAGTAAGAGCAACATTTTGTTGCTTCATTTTCCTATTAAGCTCTGGGTTGCTGATTGAAGCAGAATTCCAATGTTTTGACACACCACCACATTGTTAGCACGATAGGGAGGATTTGATTATGGGAGAACAAGTCCAAAAACGGTAAATTGACAAAAAAAAAAAAAAAAAAAAAAATCTGGGGCCCTGTTTCTCAAGGCAGCTTTTGTGGTTGCATTCCTTTATTTGATGTGGTTCTTTCCTTCTCCTGTGCCAAACGGTGCAATGTGGAAAAATGATGAAGTTGCAAAAAAAGGAGAGTGGATAGGGAGTGAACTGTTTAGTAACAAGAGAAAGAAAACAGAGCTTAGGGATCAAAGACAAAAATACCTGTTTCTCCAAGTAGGAAGAAGAAAATTAACTCAGGGGTTCTTTCCTGAAGCCTGGATAAAGGCTGAGCCCTGCTCTCAGCTGGTGCTGCTTAGGCCAACCCGGGCTGATCGCAGTAGAGACAGGGCAGCCACAAGCTGTCTGTAGGTGAGAAGAGCAGCAGCTAGAGAAAGGGCAAGGCTGAGTGCTATGGGTTCCCAAAGACAGTCGGGCTAACAAGGGTGGGCGCCAGGGAGGAAGGATGGAGAGCAAAGGCTGCCTTCAGCATCAGACTGAACACGGTTAACACCAGCCAGCCCTGCAGGCATCAGAATCCAGAGGAGGAAGCATCAGAATCGAAAGGAGGAAGAGGCTTCCATGCAGGAACAGGATTTTATTTATTTACAATTTGAAGGCTGGATAGCTTCTCTATTGTGTGGTTTATGACATTTTCTGAGTGTTAAAATTATCTCTTTTTGCACTGTGAAAAGAGCATATATGATTCATGTTAATATTTCTGAGGATCAGTCACCAACTAACAGCTAGTATTTTGGGTGGGAGGAAGGCTTTTGTAGGCAGCTTTTTCACCTAACATAGAAGTTAAAAAGCACCAGAATATGCCTCAAGCTTCGTTCAAAATCATATAAATAGCTCCCTCTTGCACAGTTACAATCTAGTATGGTTGTGAGAACTCCCACAGTCCACGAGTTGCCTAATGCTCACCTCACCCTTGCCTGAAAAAAGCTAATTCCTGTGGTTTACCTGCTGATGGAATATAGCTTCTAAGAAGTTTGACCAAAGGGCCTCTTTTCATTTTTGCTAATAACCTATTCTAGGGGGGTGGGGTTTGCCTATATTTCTTCCTGGATACTTTTCGTACTTTCAGCATCTGTAGAACTGTCAAATATTTCTATAATCCTAGATCAAGAGTCAGCAAACTAAAACCTCCTGGCCAAATCCAGCCCACAGCTAAGAATGACTTTTACATTTTTTAAATGGTTAGAAAAATATTTAAATAATAATGTTTCATGACTCGTAAAAATTACATGAAACTTGAATTTTAGTATCCATAAACAAAATGTTGTTGGAACACAGCCGTGCTCATTCATTTACATATTATCTGCGGCTGCCTTTGCACTTCAGCAGGAGAGCTAAGTAGCTGCAATACAGGCATTATGGATGCAAAGATGACAATATTTACTACCTGGCCTTTTACTGAAAAAGTTTGCCAATCCCTTTCCAAGACCGTTAAACTCTTCTTTTCCATAATGACTATTTCCATAAAGATATATACATTTATTGGCTTTTAATGTTCATTTAGAAATTTGACTTCCATCTCTTTTTTATATTCATTGGACTTTAATACTACAAATATTTTTTAAGTGTCTAATATGCTTGGCATTATTCTTGCTAAGAATAATGAGGTTATAAAAGTGAACAAAACAGAGGCAGATCCTCATTCTGGAGGAGATTATATTCTAGTGAGGAGTCATGGGGGGAGATGATGAGTGAATACGTGTAGAATGTCTTATGCCACGGAGAAAACGACAACACAGAAGACCAAGTACCAGAGATGGAAGGGGCTTATCTTAAATAGATGGTTCAGGAAGCCTCACTCAGAAGCTGACATTTGAGTAAGACCTGAAGCAGGTGAAGAAGCCCGCCCCGCAAATGGCTGGGAAGAGTTCCAGGCAGAGAGAACAGCAGGAGAACTGGGCCAGTGCCCTGAGGTGAAATTGCCCCAGCTTATCCAGGGAGGTTTTAGCCCCAGTGAGAAGTTCAGTAGGTTCTGAGCCCTGCTCTCAGTGGGCGCCTCTTAGGCCAACCAGGCCAATTGACTATGGGGTGTGAGAGAAAGGAGTCAGCAATGACAGAGGTTTTTGGTCTGGGAACCAAGAGATAGAAGCTGCCATTTTCTGAGATGAGGTGGATATGGGAGTAGGTTTTGGGGGCAGGGTTGCTTGTGAGCAGGTTGAGTTACAAGTTCTGAGTTCAAGAAAGGCCTGAGCCAGACAGATAACATTTAGAATTTGTTAGTTTAAAGGAGAAATTTCAGCAGTGAACCTGGCTGAGATTCAATCTCAAAGCCCAGATTTTTTTTTTTAATCTCCAGAACATCTCTCACTTTACAACTAAACAGAACTTTTTATTTTTTTAACCTCACGTTTTCTTTCCTTTGCAGTTCACCATTGGCATCGCATCAGGATCTATCCCTGTTCTTGCTTCCTCTCTAGGTAGATACCCCTCACCAGTAGGCACCCTGGGCAGCCTGAAATATGAAATATGCCTTTCTCAATGGGCAAAAAGCTGCTCGGTGTGGTGCAGGACGCATGGTCTGCTGTCCACATTGAGAACCTGGCCTCGGATCCATTGCCCTGCCTTGTTAAGTAGTGTCTGTGTCCTCGTTACTTCCAGCCTCAGTTTTGATTTGACTGCTTCCTTGCCTTGCCTTCTGTTTACCTGAATATAACCACACTCATTTTACCCATGTGTACATCTGGCAGAAACCACCTTTTTTCTGGTAGTTTCAATAAATGTCTTATCTCCCATACTAGGCCTTAAGAGCAGACCTGTGTTTTCCTTACCTTCCTGTTGTCCACAGTGCCTTTCAAGTAGTCAGTGATCCCATGCCACGGGGATGGGAGGCACATTTGCATTGACCACACCCCTTCCCATTCCAGCCCTGGCCGTGCATCATTGCATGAGGTCTAGAGCAGTATTTTTTCAAACTGTGGTGTGAGGACCACCTGCATCCACTAAGGAACAGGTTAGCATGCACATTCCCAGGTCTCACCTCCGACCTGCTGAATAAACCTAGTAAATTGCCTTCTTTGGGGTGGGATCTGGGTATCTGAGTTTTTAACAAGCCCTCCCACCCCCTCCAGATTATTCTTAAGCAAATATGAAAACTCCAGGTACAGAGAAAGATTACAATTCCAGTTTCACTGTTTCCAGCTTGGACAAATCATCCATCTCAAGCCTCAGGTTTCTTTCTTCTCTCTACAATGAGTATGTTGACACTTGCTACCTGTTTTGTAAAGGTGTTGTAAAAACTCAAGCAAGGAGCACTTTGGAAACCTGTGCTAATCTCATCTTCTGGTATCTTTTCATTTTCATGTGGAGGTCAAGCTTTAGCTACCTACAGATTGACTTCTTGAACACAGAGACCAGTGATGTGCACGTGAAGTTACCTAGTGCTATTTATGTGCCTGAACTTTTAGTAAATACCAGGTAATAGAAATCAGGTAGATACCCTTCTGTGTCCTGGAAAGGCAGAAGGCTTTTTTCTTGTTCTCTACATCTTTCTTGGACCATCATTAAAACATGTGTGCAGTGAGAAAGAAGGAGTTAGAAAAATGTTTGTAGGTTAGTCTAGGATAACTATTGTATGCACTGTTTTTTTTTCCAGGGAAAATATTTTAAAGGTAATTCATAGGAAAAGTGATCTGTACCTATTTAAGAGCAGTAAAGCCATTCATTGGAGTTTTATAACAAACTCATAGTAAATTCACTCACTCCTGACCTCTGGCTTTTGAAAATAGTTTCACTTCTTAAAGAAACTGTAATGCAATCAACAGCAGGTAGTAGGCCTGGAATCAAGATGCAACAAGAGAAAAAAAAAACTTTTCTTCCCCTTACCCTTTTCGTGTCTTGAGTGACTGGGCATCATTACAAGTAGTTCATACCAACTCTTAGTAGAACAACATCTGCTAAGTCTGTTATTGTTTTGGGGGGCTTACTTAAAATACTTTTCCACATGCTAAGAAAATCCTGATGGTGGACATCTGTTAAGATTACTGCCCTCTTAAAGGCTTGTTTGAGATGTTAACAAACTTACAAAACACATTTCTGAACAAAGACTTGGTTAGGGTTCATGCCATTAGACATACTCTGTTTGCAATTACAATAGTCTCATCTTTCATATTTTTTAAATGTAAAGTTCTTTGCTTGCATTCCACCTTCTTTCTACTGGAAAGTGTCCATCAAGTCCTCTGGCCCTGAACTAATCACTTCAGTTCAGGTACCAAAATAAGTTTAATAAATATTCCTGGAAACACCCTCAAGGACTTGGCCAGCCCAGGCATCTACTAAAACACCCAAGTCACATGTGGAACCAGATGTCAAGTATGCAGATAAGGACATAGAAGTCACAAAAGTGATAACCAGAGACCTAAGAGTGGGGTAGATTTAAGTGAGAGAAACCTGGAGTTCGATGCCTCTTTGTCATTTACCACCTATATGACCTTAGAGAGGTTCTATAGCTTCTCTGAAGTTCCCGTGCTCTCATCTGTAAGATGGGATAACACTTCTCTCATAGGTTGATATGAAGAATAGATGATATCATAGAGGAAAAGCACTTAATACAGGACATGATGCATTAGTGCTTAGTAAATGGAGTTATTATTCACTACTCTGTTCTGTGGAGAATTCATTTACCAACTAAATTCCTCTTAATGCCTTTTAAACTCTTCTCATTTATACTGTGCCTCATCAGAGAACAGCTGATCAAAATTATCCATATAGTAGTATGCCTTCTTTTTTTCTTTTTTTTTTTTTGAGACAGAGTCTTGCTCTGTCACCCAAGCTGGAGTACAGTGGCACAATCTCATCTCACTGCAACCTCTGCCTCCCAGGTTCAAGTGATTCTTCTGCCTCAGCCTCCCAAGTAGCTGGAACTACAGGTGTGCACCACCACACACCTGGCTAGTTTTTGTATTTTTAGTAGAGACGGGGTTTCACCATGTTGACCAGGCTGGTCTCAAACTCCTGATCTCAAGTGGTCCACCTGCCTTGGCCTCCCAAAGTGCTGGGATTACAGGCATGAGCCACTGCACCCGGCCCATATTTTTAATTACTCCATTTAATAATGGTGTATTTTTAAAGTTATTTAACTTAGCCATTTCAACTTTTTTAGACTTTGCTCCAAGGAGGAATGTTTTCTGAGTGCTTAATCATAGTTGTCATTGTCTCAACATTTCCATTTTTATATGTCCCTTTAAAAGTGAGAAACAAAAAGTGGAATACAGTACTCTCACAGAGTCCTTACTTACAGCTATAAAGTGTGTTTAGTAGAAATATTAGATTAGTCACAAATGTAATACAGCCAGGTCTGAATTGATGCTTCCATGAGCCTCTGATTCCATGTGAATACCCAGATTTTCTTCCACTGGTGTACTTAACTCGTCTTTCTGATCTCCTTTTATTTTCTTGTCCTATTGTACTCACTTAAATTTTCTCCATATTGAATTACACCCTGATTTTGTTTAACTGAAGGACTGACACTCTTGAGATGGCTCAAAGTTGAATCTATAAAATGAGTTGAGAGCTAACAACAGGTCTAGAAAATGCTTTGCTAGAAAAAAAAGATTTAGCTAGAAAACAGAACAAGTCCGGGCGTGATGGCTCACGCCTGTAAACCCAGCACTTTGGGAGGCCAAGGCAGCAGATCACTTGAGCCTAGGAGTTCGAGACCAGCCTGGACAACATGGTGAAACTCCTTCCCTACTAAAAATACAAAAAAAAAAAAAATTAGCCAGGCATGTTGGTGCACATCTGTGGTTCCAGCTACTCAGGAGGCTGAGCTGGGAGGATCACCTGAGCCTGGGAAGTTGAGGCTGCAGTGAGCCGTGATCACGCCACCACACAGACAACAGAGCAAGACCCTGTCTCAGGAAAAAAAAAAAAAGAAGAAGAAAGTAAGAAAACAAAACTGGAGCCTCTCCTTAATTTAATATTTATGTTCTTCTGGGTTTTCAGAACTATGAATGATTTTTTTTTAGTCCCACCAGGTTACTTTGTTGTGACATATGGTATCTTTAAGATGATAAAAAGTGAGATGACAAGGTGATTAATTTTATGTATAAAAGCTTTGAAGACGATTTTAATCACTTATTCTACTATTTCAGTATATTGGTAGGGATTAGACTTTTAAAAATTCTACTTCATCTTTCTGTGAAAGAATTCCTAATGAAAAAGGACATAGACTTTGGAACCAGAAAGACCTGGGTTTAAGCCCACCTCTACAACTTACTTGCTGGGTTATCTTGGATAAGATACTTAGACTCTTAGAATGTCAGTTTTCTCATCTGTAAATGGGGCTAATTAGGTCTACACGGCAGGGTTGTTGTGAGGTTTAGAGATCACAAAATGCCCAGTAGAGTGTCTGGCAAAAGTGGGAGCTCAATAAATAACAGTGAGTTGTTTCATGGTAATGGCTCTGCTGGCAGGCCACCAGGAAACATAATCTAGTATTACAGAGTGCCCCAGATTCTTGAGGTCCCTGGCATTCCTCTACTTTGGAAGGACTTATCGTTGGTACCCTAGTCGTGTGTTCAGAATGGGAAACTCAAGTCCTTAGACATAGTTAGGCATACAGTTAGTGTTTGTTGAATTGGATTGAAGGCAGCACACATTGCTTTAGGATTTCTCTTAGCTTGGAGTCTGCAGGCTGCTTGTTTCTACATCCTGGATGTTCCCCTTTCCATGCTTCAACTTCCAACGGCTCCTGAATCATACTGTGGAGGAGGCAGCCAGGTCAACTTCCTCTCCCTCAGAACCCAATTCAGGGGCAAAAGCAGGATGCTAAGGCTGACCCAAATGTCTCTGACAACGCCTTGTCATGACCCTTGGACAGAGAAGACTTTTAGAGTAAAGTCTCTCTTGGAGTGCTTGGTGCTATTTTTGTGTTAATGTAACTCTAATTGGTACTCTAACCATTCTAATGCTTTGAGAGAGATGTCTTTTTTTTTTTTTTTTTTTTTTTTTTTTTTTTTTTTTTAAGAGACAGAGTCCCAATCAGTCACCCAGGCTAGAGTGCAGTGGTATAAGCATGGCACATTGTAACCTCCAACTCCTGGCCTCAACTGATCCTCTTGCCTCAGGCTCCTGAGTAGCTGGGACTATAGGCACATACGATCATGCCTGGCTAATTTTTAATTTTTTTAGAGATGGGATCTCGCTATGTTGCCCAGGCTGGTCTCAAACTCCTGGCCCGGAGCAGTCATCCTGCCTCAGCCTCCCAAAGTGCTAGGATTACAGGCCCAAGCCACTGTGCCTGGTCAGGTGTCTTTGAGAGTGGTGCTATCCCACTGAACTGGTGAGAAAGTTGAGTAGAACCAAAGAAAGAAAACTTGATAGAAGCAAGAATTATGATTGCGAATCACTAGCCCTTCTGATTTTCTCCAGTCTAAATTATGTTTTGCTCATTTTACTTGACCAGTAAGGTAAAACCCCACGTGGGAGGAAGGGGAGTTGCTGTTTCATAATGGGTCAGAATCAAAACCCCATTGTCCCAAGCCAAGCTTTCAGACAGGCTGACTCCCTGCATTTTTCTAAGTCAAAATAAAAACAATTCCTTTATGCCGTCACGTTGCAGCCAAGTTAAGTCTTCAATACAGTCATGCATTGCTTAATGGCCAGGACACGTTCTGAGAAATGTGTCATTAAGCAGTATTGTCGTTGTGCAAACATCATAGAATGTACCAACCCAAACCTAGGTAGATAGTAGAGCCTACTACACGCCTAGGCTATCTGGTGAGCTTATTGCTTCTAGGCTACAAACATACACAGCATGTTACTATACTGAATACTACAGGCAATTGTAACACAATGGTAAGTATTTGTGTGTCTAAACATATCTAAACATAGGAAAAGGACAGTAAACATACGGTATTGTAATCTTATGGGACCACTGTCATATATGGGGTCCATCATTAACTGAAATGTTGCATGTGGCTCATGACTGCATGAGAGATGTGATAATTTGCAGACAGACCGAAGTTCACAAAGGGCTCTATTAGTTTCATTTGCATGGAAAAGACTAGTATTAATACATTCAGTATAGACAGTTCTTACATTTGAGTTTTAGAGCCAACAAGACTGACCTGGAAATGCTTTTCTGGTTTCATTTTCATCTATTTAATTACCCCTACCACTGGAAAAGATTTTAAAACTCTGGCCTCATCCTTCTAATTTATATCCACAGATTAAGTTTCAGTTCTAAGAATGATCAACTAATTTCATGTTTTATTTTATTCCATGAAGAGAGAGAAGGTACCTTCTCATCAGAACAGCCCTATCACCCTTTTCTCCTCCCAGGTTAAGCCTGAGCCCTTGCCACACGGATTTCCTTCTCACCCGCTTCCTCCCCGCACCACTCTGGGGATCAGAAGTATCAGTGCCAAGTGGTCCCTTTCATCTCCTCATAATTCTTCCCCAGCCACTTAGTGGGTTAGTCAGGCCCTGCCTTCTCTTCAGCCAGCCCTGCAGTCCCGGGAATGTCTTGAGTGAGCCCTGGAATCTCTGCACAGGGTGAGTTTCCTGTTGTACATGCTCAGCCCAATATTTTTTGATTCATGAATATTAAAGAATTAGAGATCACAAGGCCTTACCACCATCTTGCACCCTCTGAAAACATAATGACTCTTTTATTTCATGGCACTTTACTTAGTTTATTCAGCATGATCAGGGCAGCATTCAGGCTATAGCAAGCTTGTTAAATATTTACCCATGAGGCTGATATTTATACATGAATCAGCAGCACTTATCAGTGTGTGACACTGGATGTAGATTTTGGACGCTTACAAGCTAAGAAACTACTGGGTTAAATAAAGGGTGAAATGACGTCCTTTAAAAAATAAACTCTCAGTTAAAACTATCTTTCGTAGTGCCTAAAGTGCTTTGCACCTGTTGAGGCTCACCCCAGACAGCCAACCAAGTCATTCAGAATCAGACCTGCCAGAGTGTCTGGTCCATCACATTTGAGATCAAATGAATCTGATTGTTTGGTGGTTGGGGTGGGAGAGTACTGAGGTATGAACAAAATTAAGAGGAGTTCCTGCTTGCTGCTGTGTGGGAAATTGTAAACGGAGATGAGCCGTACATCACAGTGTCTACTTTGGTGACGGTCTGAAGCCTCTAGGAGCCCCTCATCATTTGGGATGCTGGCCTGGCTCCCTGATAGCCAGACCTACTGTTTCTTCCCATCCCTGTAGTCTTCCATGATTAAAATCCCCCTCCTCTCAGGGAGGTAACATATTTCAGCAGAAACAGCCTGAACTCCGGTGACAGGCAAACCTGTGTTCAGATCTTGGTTTTACCTATGTCTAGTTGTGTGAACCTAGGCAGTATTTTCTGTTCTCTGAGCCTCGTTTTTTTCACATGTAAAATTACAGCGATACTTCCCACCTCTTTGAACTATGGAGAGCATTTAATTAGATAATGTGATAAAGCACCTAGCAACATGTGTTAGTTCTTGGTAGTGACCGAAGCAGGGTGCGGAAACATGGGCCTGGCAGCAGAACACCTGGCCTTTGGATCTCTTCACACCTCTGCTTTTCTCCATCATTACAGGTAATTTTTGTCTAACGGCTGTATTTCGGAATGACACAATCCAAGCAGAGAGAGGGAGAGGGTTTCAAGTTTAAAGGATTACTCAGACTGTTTTCCTTCCATGTATATAATTTAATGACTGATTAAAGACTTCTCTTGTAATATTTTATATAAGTCAAAGCCTATTACTGTCAACTCCAGGGAAGCATCCAGCTTATTTTCTTTTTCAGAATTTTATTATGCCAAGGATTGTTTCTCTAAGTGAGCGATGAGTAGCTTGGATCTTGCCATTCTGTATGTTATACAGATATTCAACCTGTACCTACAGGACATAAATATTGTATTTATTTTTCTTGCACTGTGGATTATTTTTTTCTTAATCAGCTTTCTATCCTTATGAAATCATTAGAACCTTCTGGTTAGATGTGTGCCTTCTGTGTTATTTGTGCATACACAAAGAGGAGACAAAAAGCCTTCCTCTTGTTTATAGGAAGTCACAGGAATTTTCCTAGCCATCTTTAGAGTTTAGGCTAAATCTAATCCAATGCCTACTCTAAGCGTAGCAAAAGGAAATGATGGCCTTGCTGATTCTGTGCAGTTGCAGAATGCAGATGATTCATTAATGTCATACTTAGTCAAACACTGTCTTATAATTTTCTCAGCTGTCAGAGTTGTGCTTTTAGGTAACATCTGAGTAGAAAAAGTCAATACTGAATATTTCCACTCCACATTGACTTCCTTGTGTCACTCGAGATTTTGTTCATTTAGACTTTTTATTTGCATGAGCAAACACAAAATTTATTTATTTATTTATTTTGAGATGGAGTCTCACTTTTATCGCCCGGG
The DNA here is from genome assembly GCF_000001405.40 of Homo sapiens. NCBI lineage: Eukaryota > Metazoa > Chordata > Mammalia > Primates > Hominidae > Homo > Homo sapiens. The sequence goes on from NC_000002.12 coordinate 28,235,222, forward strand.
CTGGAGTGCAGTGTCACGATCTCTGCTCACTGCAACCTCTACCTCCTTGGGTGCAAGCAATTTTCCTGCCTCAGCCTCCCAAGTAGCTGGGATTACAGGCGCATGCCACCACGCCCAGCTAATTTTTCTATTTTTAGTAGAGACAGGGTTTCACCATGTTGGCCAGAATGGTCTCGATCTCTTGACCTTGTGATCCGCCCCCCTCAGCCTCCCAAAGTGCTGGGATTACAGGTGTGAGCCACCACGCCCAGCCCCACAAAATTTATTTTTACCAGGAAAATTAATTTCAGAAACCTGTAGTCAATAGGGAGACAGGATGGGTTTGGAGTCCTTTTAGTAGTGTTTTATACATATATGTGCACATTCACATACATACTCCCTGTATCACAAACCCTAGACTGAGTCAAAGTGCCCTAAACTCTTTTTTTGTTTGTTTGTTTGTTTGTTTGTTTTGAGACAGGGTCTCACTCTGTCGCCCAGGCTAGGGTACAGAGGCACGATCTCGGCTCACTGCAACCTCTGCCTCCAAGTTCAAGTGATCTCCCACCTCAGTTTCCTGAGTAGCTAAGGCTACAGGTGTGCACCACCATGCCTGGCTAATTTTTTAATTTTTTTTTTTGTAGAGACGAAGTCTTCCTATGTTGCCCAAGCTGGTCTTGAACTCCTAGACTCAAGTGATTTGCCAACCTCAGCCTCCCAAAGTGCTGGGATTATAGTCATGAGCCACTGCAGCCGGCTACCCTGAACTCTTTAGAAATGATTTTCTAGGCAGTTATTGTCACACCTTTTTCTTCCACTTACAACCTTGTAACTGCAGGGTCTTGGATAATAATCCAACATTATAAATAAATAATCACAACATTAAGAAGTAATCACAACATTAAGGGATTTTAGGGATTTTTAAAAATATCCCATCATATTACAGAGAGGGTTTAGGGGGCTTATAGAAGTATATGCATTAAAATGAAATTAAGAAAAACAAACTAAGGCAAAAGGAAAGTGAGCATAGGAAAGAAGATGAAGTCAAGATGAAGGGTGATAAATGAAATGTACGCCTTAAAGTTCTGAACAATTTCTTTTAATAATTGTGTGCTGGTTCATTTAAACTGAAAAAAAGAATTTCTTTTTTTTTTTCTTTTTTTCTTTTTTCTTTTTTTTTTGAGACCGAGTCTCACTGTATCGCCCGTGCTGGAGTGCAGTGGTGTGATCTTGGCTCACTGCAATCTCCGCCTCCCAGGTTCAAGCAATTCTCATGCCTCAGCCTCCTGAGTAGCTGGGATTACAGGTGCCCACCACCACACACCCAGCTAATCTTTGTATTTTTAGTAGAGACAGGGTTTCATCATGTTAGCCAGGCTGGTCTCAAACTCCTGACCTCAAGTGATCCTCCTGCCTTGGCCTCCCAAAGTGCTGGGATTACAGGCGTGAGCCACCATGCCTGGCCTGAAAGAAGGAATTTCTGAAAGTTGTGGAAATTATTTCAGAATCAACATTGTGTCTTAGTGCTTGGATCAGTGATTATTGACTGCAGCTTCTTGTATACCTTTTGAAATACAAGATAATGGCCGATAAGCTGTAGAACTAGAGTGTTGCAGCAATTCATTTTAGTTCAGTTTCAATGTTTAATGAATAACTTATCTGTGCCCAGCAAAGAATTGGGCATAATGAAGAGTATAAAAATATGTTTCAGTAATACTTACAGCCCATTAATGTTGGTAAGACATTTACCCATGCCAATCAAAATTTTCTAATTTGTACTGTTGTGTGTTATCAATGATGTATAATGCAAACATGCTAATTTATTTAAATGAATTAAAATACAGAAATGTAATCATAAAGTGAAGCCCATATACCCATCATCATTAACCTAGGCAGTTGGTGGCCAGACTTTGATGAGAGAAGCCAAGTCTGCTTGGGGGTGTCACTTCTTAAGTTGCTTGAGCCCTAAGAGAAGTGTCCATTGTACTCTTGTCCTTTCAGTGCACTTGGAGGCTCCTCAGCTCTTCATATCCCAGCTTTTCCAGGAGGAGGATGTCTCATTGATTACGTTCCTCAAGTATGCCACCTGCTCACCAACAAGGTAAAAGCAAGTCCCCAACTCATCCCTCTTATGAGATTTCTTCCTCCAGTCCACCACGTACCCAAAATCATCGTGCATGCTCCATCCTTCTCGGACCGACTGCTCAGTTTCAGCCTCCATCTGACACCTGCCCTTCCTACTGTGAATTACAGTTAATCTGTTTCTCTCCCCATTTCTTTGCCCTCCTTCTTCCTTTTCTAAGGATTCTGACCTCCTTTTCCAGTCTTATCTTCATCTCTTAACTTTATGTCTGGGATTTAAGTCACGTCTTTCTTGAATTTCCTTTACCCAGTTTTTGCCAGATCTTGCACCTTCTTAAACTTTAAAACTTTGGAACCCCATTGCTTCCCAATTATCCAGTGCATGCACACGTGTGTGCATGTGTTTGGCAGTAGTTGGTATCCGCGTAATTGTTTAAAACTACCTTCATCCCTCTCTGTGTTTCTGTACCTTACTTTTTAATAGTCAGCCTTTGATTCTTCCCGTCATATCTGGGAGCAGTTCACCAGAGTCCTGTGCCTAGGGGTAAGATTCCCAAGTCAGCTGGTCTTTTTATTTTTATTTTTTTTGAGACAGAGTCTCACTCTGTCGCCTGGGCTGGAATGTAGTGGCGCGATCTCGGCTGACCGCAACCTCCTCCCGGGTTCAAGCGATTCTCCTGCCTCAGCCTCCTGAGTAGCTGGGATTACAGACACCCGCCACCAGGCCTGGCTAATTTTTATATTTTTAGTAGAGATGAGGGTTCACCATGTTGGCCAGGCTAGTCTCAAACTCCTGACTTCAGATGATCTGCCTACCTCAGCCTCCCAAAGTGCTGGGATTACAGGCGTGAGCCACCGCGCCCAGCCAGTCAGCTGGTCTTATACTCAGTCAGATGATCTAAAGCTTCTCTTAGCTACATCAATGAGCCATTTCATTAGCAAGTAGCTGAGTCTAACGGTTATTGTTAGATATTTCCAAAAAGTGTAAGAATATACTTGTTAATGTCCAGCTAGTATATTTAGCTGAAAACTAGTGATACTGATGCACAAACAATGCTGACTCTCTTTCTTCTCCCACATGGACTGTGACTCAGTTTGTTTAGTTGCCAGAGTGCAATTTCTTTGCTCCTGTTGACTTGTTCACATTGGCTTGGAAAAATAGATCTTTTGTTTGTCTCTTTCACTCAAAAGATAGCTCACTTCTATATAGAAAATAGTTTAAAAGTACAATAATATTTCAAGAGCTTCAGTATTATTTTTCAAATGTCAGAGAAACTAAAATCTAGCAACTCCACCGTCTGTGGGCCTGGCACAGATTCCAGGCTTTAACCCTCATGCAGGGGTTGCTTCTCATCAGACCAAATCTCCCCAGCCTCTGCCCTCCTGCAAAACTGATCGGAGGACAGAATTCTTATTTACATTCTGGGGCTTTGCACTGCCTTCAAATCTGTGTCCCAGAATTATAGAGAAACATGCAAATTTGGTCTTCTAGAACGGAGAAGAAAAGCCTTTTTAAAGCTCTCCAATTGAGATTAATTTCTAGTCATACATTTTCCTCAAAAAAAAATTATAACACCGTTTTCCCAGAAATATAAGAATCAGTCAATTTTTCTTATCTGGTTTCCTTTCATTAATTTTACTTGTCTTTTGAAATTGATGTTCTTCTGTTTGCTACAAATGAGGACAGTATGGGCTGCTTTTAGAAACAATCTCTTCAAATGAATTTCCATAATTATATTGGAATCTATCTTTATAGCCAGTTTTGTTGTGGGTTTCTGTTAAAATGGTTTTCTGTTTTTAAAATCAAGTATACAGAACTGTTTTCATCCCCTTTTTAAACAAAGCCACTTAAGCAAACTTATCATCTGTTTTTCTTTTCTCAAAATAACATTTCTGATCCCGCATTAAGCCTGCAAAGTAAGCACTGTTTTTATAAATTGACATAAACCCCTATTATATAAATAGAATTGTTTTACATTTAAAGGGTTCAACATGGCTATCAGTACCAATTGTGTCAAGGTTATTTCAAGCACTTTATCTTGAGCTTTTGTTAGCCATGGAAACTCAGTGTGGCTATAGCCAATATAAACAATTTTGGGGGTCTCTCCTTCCCACTGTTTCTTCCAGCCATCATGAGAACATTATAAGGAATGTGTTTTCGTGTTAGAAGCTGGTGGGTAAATGACTAACTTTCAGATGCCTAGCTTAATGAGTTTGCAATTTTTTTATAGAAACTGTCATTGGGTGATAATGAGGAAATATAAAAAGGCAAAGCAAAATAAAATCTCCTATTGTAATACTCCTTATTCTGAATATCAGAATTTTAAAATGAGAGAAGTATTATTCTGCCTTTTTTAATAGGAGCTCAAGATAACCAAATAACCCCATTTGATGAGAGAAAGCTCTTTACAGAGTATGTCAGCTGATGTATGCAAAAGGAATGATGGGATTCAAAAATCATCATTTTGCAGTCCCTAATGAAATCATTGATTCAGACAAGGATCTCCAGTAAATACTAAAACCATTAGGTGAAAGGTTGATGGGAAACTAGGTTTTCCGCTGCTTCAGAGGGTATGTCCATAGACTATTCACTGTGGCAGAGGGAGCATTCCCTTCCATTGGAGGGGTCTGGCTGTTGTCACCTTAGCCAAGTGATCAGGCCCAGTATCATCTAGGAAGTTTTCTTGCCAAAAATGTTCAACCTGGACCTAATCACCCTTTAGCTCTAATTTCTAATTTATTGGAAATACAGAGAGTAAAGGAAAAAGAAAGAAAACAGAATTGAGACGTTCTACAAGACTACTAGCACAATTTGTTTTCTTTTTTCTTTTTTTTTTTTTAAGAGATAAGATCTTGCTCTTTTAAAGAGATGAGGTCGCCCAGGCTGGGGTGCAGTGATGCCTTCTAAGCTCAATGCAGCCTTGAACTCCTGGGCTCAAGCATTCCTCCTGCCTCAGGCTCCCGAGTAGCTAGGGCTATAGGTGCATATCACCATACCCAGCTAATATTTCTTTTATTTTTTGTAGAGATGAGGTCTGGCTGTGTTGCTGAGGCTGGTCTTGAATTCCTGGCCTGAAGTAATCCTCCTGCTTCAGACTCCCAAAATACTGGGATTATATGAGTGAGATTCCACATCTGGACATAGCCCAATTTATTTGAAAAATTAGTGTCATATATGTGCATGCAGGCACACACACATACACACACTCAAGGAGGCACTATTTATTATAGATTTAGAAACTTAAAAGGCATTAAAAACAAATGGCTGATCCTTAATCATACATTGTTTTTTAAAAAACATTTTGGGCCAGGCTCAGTGGCTCACACCTGTAATCCTAGGACTTTGGGAGGCTGAGGCAGGCTGATCATCTGAAGTCAGGAGTTCGAGACCAGCCTGCCCAACATGGTGAAACCTCGTCTCTACTAAAAATACAAAAATTAGCAGGGCATAGTGGCGGACTCCTATAATCCCAGCTACTTGGGAGGCTGAGGGAGGAGAATCACTTGAACCCAGGAGGTGGAGGTTGCAGTGAGCTAAGATCGCGCCATTGCACTCCAGCCTGGGCAACAAGAGCGAGACTCTGTCTCAAAAAAAAAAAAAAACAAAAAAAACCCATTTATTTTAATTCTTTTGAATTAAAAAATAAAAATAAACATTTTGGGGACAATTAGGAAATTTTGAAAATGGACAGGGTACTAGATGAATTCAGAGACCAATTGCTAAATTTGTTGGGTACAATAATGGTATTGTGGTTATGTAGAAGAAAGTTTTATTTTTTAGAGATGCATACTGAAATATTTAAGAGTGAACTGTCATGATGTCTCTCATTTCCTTTGAAGTGTTGATTGATAGGTTGATAGATAGATGGATGGCTGGAGGAAGCAAGTAGGCACAATAGTCACAGTTGTTGAATGTAGGTAGTGGGAATACCGGTGTTCACTTTACTATTCTTTCTGCTTCTCTGAATCTTTGAAATTTCTTATAATAAAGCATTTAAAAGATTCCCACTCTACTTCTCAGCTTTGGGTTTCTATTCCAGGTGCAGTACGTGATTCAAGGGTATCACAAAAGAAGAGAGTATATTGCTGCTTTTCTCAGTCACTTTGGCACGTAAGTTCTGCCCTGTTTGAACGATATACCGGTGATGCCCTCGCTTGCTGATGACCTCAACATGGGGGCTTGATTAAGAAAATAGCACTTAGTTCTTACACATGATACCTTTTTTTTTTTTGAGACAGTCTCGCTCTGTCACCCAGGCTGGAGTGTAATGACATGATCTTGGCTTACTGCAACCTCCACTTCCCGAGTTCAAGCGATTCTCCTGCCTCAGTCTCCTGAGTAGCTGGGATTATAGGCATGGGCCACCACACCCAGCAAATTTTTGTATTTTTAGTAGAGACGGGGTTTCACCATGTTGTCCAGGCTGGTCTCAAACTCCTGACCTTGTGATCCGCCCACCTTGGCCTCCCAAAGTGCTGGGATTACAGGCGTGAGCCACCACACCCAGCCCCACATGATACCTTTTTAATGCCACTTTGATCCTTTTTGGTATGCTGTTCATACCAAAGCTCCCAGGATCCCTTTTTTTTTTTTTTTTTTTCGGTACTCTTTGGCAAATAGTAGAATCAAATATCTTCCCTAGAGCAGCAGCCTGGACAGCCCTGAACTCAACAGTAGTAATGGTGGTAACGGTCACTTTTTGTAGAACTCTCTACAATTTGCATAGCACTTTTCACCTCCATGCCCTCACAGTAGCCATGGGGTGAACCAGGCAGGCATCACCGGCACATTTTGTTGAAGAAGCTCTGAAATTGCGGTAAGTTCAGTAACCCAATGGAAGTCGCGCCCCTAGAAGAAGTGGAGCCAGGGCAGGAACCCCATTTCCCCAGCACTCAGGTCTCCTGCTAGGACTCCACTGCCAACAGTGCCACACAGATCCGGGCAGGAAATCCAGCATTCGATGCAAAAGCGGTGGCTCGCACTTGAGGTTAGGAGTTGAAAGCAAGCACCGATAGGGGAGAGGGAAGCCTGTGACACCATGGGCGCCTCTGGCTGCTCCATCCCTGTGCCTTTGCCCTTTCCTTCTGGCTGCCTGTGGCTGTGCTGCCCTGCAGCCCTGTTTCCTTAAGTAAGTCAGAGGCCTGATCAAGCTTCTTCTCAGGCTTTGCTCAGTGAGACAGGGAATGCATTTTCCTCACGATCTTTAGAAGATAGAACATTCTACCCATTGTCGTTAACGAGGCACTAAGGATTTTAGAGGTCTGATGATAGCCCACCTTATTCCACAGAAGGCTTATAAATATATAAATATATCTAGTAATACAAAATTAAAATTTTAAATAAGGAAATTAGGAATAGGGAGAGAAGATGAAACCAAGAAAATGATTTGTCACCCTCTGGGATATAATTTTCAAACCATGGCACAATTATAAGAAAATTTCTGACTCCTCAAACCAATTTTAAGACATTTTTCTCATTCCCATAATGGAATTTTTCATTTCTCCGAAATAGAAGTGTCAATAACCAAACAGTATGACTGCCTCTCACATGAGTCTTTAATACTTAAGATTTTTTTCAGCTTTGTGAACATTTTGAGAAAGTACTTTTGATACAAATAGTGGTTAATAAATAATACCATTGATCTTCTTATTTTTAAGTAAGATTATCTTTAGTATATATAATTAAACATGAAGAAGCTAGCACAGTGGCCTCCAAAATGTAGTACACACACCCCAGAAGTTACACAGCTCACTCTATTGAAGTATAAGAAATATATGAAAATTACATTGACATTTGCTTTCAAGTCTCACTTTTTTAATGTACTTTTTTGTGTACATTTTATTATGCATGTAGTACAGTAGTATACTAAAAAGGACTATATACTTGTCTTTGCCTGTGGGATGCAGGATCTGAAAAGTATTGATATCAGCACTATAACATTATTGGGCTAATTATAAATTCATAGAGAGGCCAGGCACAGTGGCTCACACTTGTAATCCCAGCACTTTGGGAGGCCGAGGCGGGCGGATCATGAGGTCAGGAGTTCGAGACCAGCCTGACCAACACAGTGAAACCCCGTCTCTACTAAAAATACAAAAATTAGCTGGGCGTGGTGGCGGGTGCCTGTAATCCCAGCTACTTGGGAGGCTGAGGCAGGAGAATCTCTTGAACCCGGGAGGCGGAGGTTGCAGTGAACCGAGATCATGCCACTATACTCTAGCCTGGGCAACAGAGCTAGACTCCATCTCAAAAAAATTTAAAAATTAAAAAAAAATTAGCCGGGCATAGTGGCAGGTGCCTGTAATCCCAGCTATTCGGAAGGCTGAGGCAGGAGAATTGCCTGAACCTAGGAGGCAGAGGTTGCAGTGAGCCAAGATCGCACCACTGCACTCCAGCTTGGGCAATAGGGTGAGACTCTGTCTCAAAAAAAAAATAAATAAATTCATAGAAATATAAACTAAAGAATTGTCGACTTAAGATCTGAATGATATACCAACCATTTTTTAGCAGATCACTTACCCTTCAGTATCTTAGTTCTTTTACCTTTATAAGGGGTATAACTGTTCCTTCCAACTTAAACTGGGCGGGCATCAATATCAGTGGTCTGATTGGCCTGGTTTGGTCAGGGATAAGGCATCTCTAAGGACATCAGAGTCCTCCTTGTATGGATGAGAAAGAAAATTATATCTGTCCTTAGTGTGGTTAGTATTGTCACATTATGGCGACATCCTCCAGGCGCTCAGCTCTTGAGGGAAATGGATGAGTTGAGGCTACAGAATTGCGCCTTGGCCCATTCAGAGGTCAGGGGATGTTTTCTTTTGACACATGAAATATGCATCTCCCTTCCTGAACCCAGCATCCACCCATCTAGTGTTGCTACTTTGCCTTAAGCCCAGTGGGAAGGACAGGGGAACACAGTGAAAGGGGACACAGTTGTCTGGTGTGATTGCCCTAACCCAGCTCAAGAAGAAAAGTAATATATAATACTAAATTTAGTAATACTGTCATTGCATATTACTATGTAGTGCCCAGTGAAAGTCAGACTTAACAATCACTGTACAGGTAGTATGCTGACATTTGGCATTGTAGTGTCATTGCTGACTTGATTTCTTAATATGTCCTTCTACTCATAATTAATGTAATAACTCACATTTGTATAGTATTTTATGATTTATCTTATTTGTTTTTCACAACCCTGTAATGAATTTTGCAAATATTTTTATACTTGTTTTGCAGGTAAGGAAACTGAGGCTGCAAAGGTTAAGTGATTTGCCTGAGGTCATAGTAGATAGTCAATGGCAAAGCTGTGACTTAAACCTAGATACTGTCATTCCAAACCCCAGGCCCTTCCTGCATTAATCCTCACTTGCCTTAAACCCATCTCAAAGTCAATAACCCTGACTTCACGAATATATTCTTTACTTGGTTTTATTGCTTTTATACCTTAATTTTATGAGGGTTTTTTTTGTTTGTGTGTGTATGTTTTTATTACTTAGAGGTGTCGTGGAATATGATGCAGAAGGCTTTACAAAACTCACTCTGCTGCTGATGTGGAAAGATTTTTGTTTTCTTGTACACAGTGAGTATACTTTTGCTGTCAGCATGTCAGCATACATTTTTAAATGTCCTAAACCACATGTAATAATCAGTACTAGAACCTTTTCTGTCCTGTCTCGGTTCCTTTTACTGTAGCGTATATATATATTTATTGTGGGATATTAAGGAGAAAATATCTCTAGGCCGGTGGTTCTCAACCACTGGAGCAATTTTGCACCTCAGGGGACGTTTGGCAATGCCTGGAGACATTTTTGATTGTTATGACTGAGGGGGTGGGGATTTGCTACTGGCATCTAATGGGTAGAGGTCAGTGATGCAGCTAAACATCCTACAATGCACATGACAGCCCCTCACACACACACACAAAAAATTATTGAATGCAAAATCTCAGTATTGCCAAGCTAGAGAAACCTTACCCTAAACAGATTCTGTTTCTAATTATCTTTCCAGTATCAGGCCTCAAGACTTTTGGTATTATTGGAAACATACCTGCTGTGATCATTTGGTTATCATCCTTATTCAATGAAAAGTCTACAACTTTGATAAAATGTAATACATAACTTAAAGATGGGGTAATGTTTTAATGTATCCCCAACATCATTTCTTCATGTTCTTCTGCGTAGTAGGCATACCTAATGGTGGTTGTCACATATTAATCCATCAGTCTGTAAACATCGACCCAGCTTTCTCTTGATAGATAATTTAGAGTCTTTTTATTTCCTGATTATGTAAGAACCAGTGACCCATGGAGTCAGGTTCAAGTTGCAAGTCAACTGAGACCTTCATTCTGCAGTAATTTGGTACGTACAATGTTCAGTCTTCAGGCCAAGGCAAAGGAGCCAACTTTCCCAGCTTGAGTTAGAGAAAAGCAGTGGGTTTGAATTGACTTCACTCAAACCCATGGCTTTTAGAACTTACCCTATGCCTTAATAAACTACTGCAGGAGGAATAACTTTGGCTGTATTTAGCCAAGGCATCAGACAGTGTAAAGATACTGACTTTAAGGGATTTTTCTTCTGCAGCAGATTTACCTTCTTCGTTATGATTTGCTTTGGTTAAAATAGTTCTTAAGTTCATTTTTCTATCTGATTACACACCAATAGATAGTAAGGGCAGAAACCAAAAAAACATCCATAGTGGCAGAAAGAAGAAAACGTCTAAGTAAAACCTTATCATGGTAAAATTCATATAGAGATGATCGAGCGCAGGCCACAGTTTTAAGGAGATGGGCCTCTCTGCCTTGAGGTGTTGCCCAACAATCACCACTTTTCAAGGTGTCAGGCACCTTGTCACCATCATAACCTACAGTGTGGGGCCAGGTAAGGAGGAAGCCCCACAATCAAGGCCTCCTGGCAATCTCCTCTTTGCTCAGTGTCTTCGATGGCCCTACTAATCTGAGCCTAACACTGGTACTGCAGCCACCACTTTTGATTCTGACCTTATATATCCTTGCTTTGGTTTGGCATTCTGTGGCTTAATTCCTTTGTGAAATCTCACTTCCTATTTGCTGTATTCACTTTACCTTACGACCTTGGTCCCAGTGATTCTTTCTGTAACCTGATGACCCAACGGCAGATCTTGATTGCTTCCTTAATTTATTCATATCTCTTGTGACTTGGGAAGGTTGTCTGGTGTGATTATCCTAACCCAGCTCAAGAGGGACCTGGGCCTTACCTCAAATGATGGTGGTGACGGCCTCGTGCCTCCTGAGTGGCTGTGGACAACTCCATCACAGCAGGACAATTGCAGACACTAAGATGAATGCTTCAACCAGTTCCTTCATCTCCAAGTGACATAATAGCCTGTCTTTTTTCCTGAATCTTTAGTCTCCTAGCCATGGTTCTACTTTCTGTTGATGTCAGATCATATCAGAATAAGGGGAAAAATATATTTCATGGCATTGCTCAATTATAACCTATGTTTTCCACATGCAACTCAAAGATGACTATTCTGGTGGTTGCTAGCAAGAAGAAATTGTCACTTGCAATGATGGTCAGAGATAAAAGAACATTCACCTCTCAGCTCCTGCCAACTCGTTTGTCAGTACATTCAGTAATGTAGCTATTGCTGTTGCTTTTGAAGGTTTATTCCCCACAGAATATTTTCTCCTTGGTACCATGTGTTCAGTATTTCTTACAGCTCCTTCTCTGCCTTTCTATCTTAGCTTTTCCAAATCAGACATGCAGAATTGAGTCCCAAAGTCATCTTTTCATTTCATTTTGAATTACCTTCTTCAGAAACATAGAACCCCCAGGCACTCATTAGAACAGCTACCCGGGACCTTGGGAGTTGTTTAATTGACTTTTTCCAGTGTTTCCTGGAGCTCTTATTCCTGTACTCCCCCGGCTGTTTGGTCCCTGTCTCTTAGCATCACTGCCACACTCTTGGCTCTTCTGGCAGATAAGACCCTGCCTGTGAACCAAAGGACTTTGATGCTGTTTCCTGCTCCCTCACTAACTCACAGCCTGTCTTTAAATAAATTATTTTCACCCATTTCCTTTTTTCTTATCTAAAATATAGGACTTGCTACCTCGGAGTGAAGCTTGGTTAGATAATGTGTTTTACTTAGTCATGCAGTTAAGCATCTGACACTTACCTTCCTTTGGAAGCATCTGCTGGCTTGGTTACAATGCCCAAGGGACCACTTGTTCCTTTTTCTCCCTTCCATGAAGATGGGGAGGGGAATATGAGGTGGCAGAGACTTAACAAAGAACATTGCAGTGAATTATTCTGAGATCTCAAGAGGTGAAAAGGAGGAAGGAAGTGCCTGGAAATAGAGCCATTCCCCTGTGGCTGCCTCTACTACTTCATGGAGGTTGAAGACCTAGCAGGACATGAAATAGCATCTCTGTTCTCCCCTTCCTCCCTATTCTCCTCGGGCCCAGGATAATTGCTATTGATAGGATAGCTCCTGGCAATAATTATGTGCATTTTGGATGCTAGAGGAAAGAGGCACTCTTCTTGAGACAGACAGCTCTGACCTCAGACTTTGCCAGACTTTGAAAAAGCAGATTGCCTTAAGGAAAAGCATTGCACAGATTCTGGGATCTCTCAGGAGGTACTGCAACATCCTGGCATTCTGGCAGTTCCAGGAGTGGGGACTGTGGCCATGATTGTGGCCATGGAGCATTTCCATCCACTTATTCCTTCCTTACATCATTCATTTTCAGCATGTCTCAAATCTTGGAACTGTAGCAGGATCAGAAACTTGCTCCCATCCAGAAACTATTTTTAGGAAACTTTCCTGGCCATCATCTAAGAATTATTCATAGCAGTTGTATAGGCAATTCCATATTTGCCAAATTATGCTTACCTCTGGAGGTAGATGTTACCTTTAAGCTAGTAGCTTTTGTTTATTTTCTTTTTCTTTTTTTTTTTTTTTTTTTGAGACGGAGTTTTGCTCTTGTTGCCCAGGTTGGAGTGGAATGACGGGATCTCGGCTCACTGCAACCTCTGCCTCCCAGGTTCAAGCAATTCTCCTGCCTCAGCCTCTCGAGTAGCTGGGATTACAGGCATGCGCCACCATGCCTGGCTAATTTTGTAATTTTAGTAGAAACGGAGTTTCTCCGTGTTGGTCAGGCTGGTCTCAAACTCCCGACCTCAGGTGATCCACCTGCCTCAGCTTCCCAAAGTGCTGGGATTACAGGCGTGAGCCACCGCGCCTGGTCCACTAGTAGCTTTTCAGAATGCAGCGTGGCAAGAGAACCAGATAGCAAGGCGAAGTAACAGAACAAAAAAAATCCTCTGGGGAAAAGCTACATGCTTTTTTTGTGGGTCCCAGTCAACTGCACTGTAAGTAGACACACAAGGAGGCAGCTGTCTACAGGAGCAGAGTTGCTGCTTAGAAGGGGAGACAATTGAGTATTGAGATTTGTGACTGTATGACAAGCTGTCTTTTTCCATTACCTATAAATCTTTGGTAAATGACCCTTTGAGTCATTCAGCCTGGACTGTAGGCCTTTTCTCCCTGGTAAAATTCCTGTTAGACCAAATCTGACCACTTTTTTCTCTTGTTTTCCTCTACCTCCAACTTAACTGAGTTCTGAGTTTACTAAGAACCTACTGCATGCTCAGTACTATGCGAGGTATTAGGGGATATAAGTATATAACTCAGAGTTGACCTTAAGATACTTACAGTAACATAGCACAGAAATTAGAAAACTACAGCCTGTGGGCCAAATCCCGTGTCAGCCTGTTTTTATAGGGCCCTTGAGCTAAGTATAGCTTTTTGTTTGTTTGTTTGCTTGTTTTTTTTTTTTTTTTTGGAAACAGCGTCTCACTCTGTTGCCCAGGCTGGAATGCGGTAGTGTGATCTTGGCTCACTGCAGCCTCCGCCACCTTGAGTTCAAGCGTTTCTTCTGCCTCAGCCTCCCGAGTAGCTGGGACTACAGGCATGTGCCACCATGCCCGGCTAATTTTTGTATTTTTAGTAGAGACCGGGTTTCACCACGTTACCCAGGCTGATCTTGAACTCCTGGCCTCAAGCAATCTACCCGCCTAGGCCTCCCAAAGTGCTGGGATTATAGGTGTGAGCCACTGCACCCTGCCCTAAGGGTAGCTTTTATATTTTAAAAGGATTCTTAGAAAACAGAAAGAAGCAGAAGAATATGCAGCAGAGACAGTATATGGTTTGCAAGACCTAAAATATTTGACCCTTCACAGAAGTTTGCCAACTTCTTGTCTAGTTGATGAGAAAAAAGATTAGGTCAAGGTGAAGTACAATGGTATGCATTTTTAAAACAAATATTTTATGACTTGTCTACTTTATGCAAGACACAGTTATATGAGAGAGGCTCATATGTTATATGTCTTGGTCTGGGGGAGGTCTTCTTTCTCTCTCTCCAGACTGGAGTGCAGTGGTGCAATCATGGCTCACTGTAGCCTCAACTTCCTGGGCTCAGGTGATCCTCCCACCTTAGCCTCCCAAGTAGCTGGAACTATACATAAGCGCCATGACGCCCAGCTAATTTTATGTAGGGACGAGGTTTTGCTGTTTCCCAGGCTGGTCTCAAAACACCTCGGGCTCAAGGGATCCACCTGCCTCAGCCTCCCAAAGTGTTGGGATTACAGGCATGAGCCACCACACCCAGCTTCTTGTCTTTCTTAATGAAGTCTAATGAGAAAAACAGACAATAAAGACATAAACTTAACAAATATATACATTCAAAAGGTGACAAATAGCGTGATGGAACAAAGTAAAAGGCTATGAATAGAGAATAAGAAGGAGATGCTGTGAGGAAGATGAGGAAGATGCTGTGAGGAGATGCTGTGAGGTCTTCCCTATGCTTCTATAGGGAAGACCTCCTATAGAGGGTGACATTTCCGCTGAGACCTTAGCAGTGATTCAGACAGCCAAGGAAGGCAATTCCAGGGAAGGCAGTCCCTGTGCAAAAGCCCTGAGCCCTGAGGCAGCAAAGAGCTCTGCTGAAGCAGGCGTGGCTGGAGCACAGTGAGTAAGGGGAAGGGCATTTGTTGAACTTTTTTTTTTTTTTTTTTTTTAGCTATCTAATATTGAATTACTTTCTTAGCGGTTTATTCTAGAGATTACAATATGCATCTTTAACATAATTGCCTTAAGATTAATAATACCTTCATTCTGGTAAAATATAGCAACATTGCTCCTTGTCCTCCCGCTTATTTGTTCTATTAATTGTCATATATATTACATGTATATATGTTATAATATAAACACAACAATATAGCTTTTTCTGTCATTACTATAAACAATCATATATATTTTTTTCTTTTTTTTTTGTTTGTTTGTTTGTTTTGTTTTTGAGACGGGGTCTCGCTCTGTCGCCCAGGCTGGAGTGCAGTGGCACGATCTCAGCTCACAGCAACCTCCGCCTCCCAGGTTCAAGCAATTCTCCTGCCTCAGCCTCCTGAGTAGCTAGGATTACAGGCATGTGCCACCACTCCCGGCTAATTTTTTGTGTTTTTAGTAGAGACAGGGTTTTGCCGTGTTAGCCAGGATGGTCTTGATCTCCTGACCTCGTGATCTACCCGCCATGGCTTCCCAAAGTGCTAGGATTACAGGCGTGAGCCACCACGCCCAGCCACAGTCTTATGTTTTTAAAAGAGAAAAAAAGTTATCTTTGGATTTTGCCCTGCACATTATTTCCAGTGTATCTTTGCAAGACTTTGATTGCTGTGTTCCTCCATTTCAGAGCTGTAGGATTGGGGCTGGGGTGGCAGTGTTTATTCAGTCTAATGAATGATAAGGTTCTTACTCTGATGTTTTTCTTTATTTTAAATGACTAATGTTCACACAGATGTCTTAGTATTATTCTTTCTGTATTTGTCTTTAACTATCTGTTTGTTCATTTGTTCATTCATTGGTTTTCAGTTGACATTAAGTAAAAGGAAAGCAATTATTTTGTTTTTCAGAGAACACAGTTTCTGGTAAGACTTTTTTTTTTTAAGCCAGAGGAAATCAACAACTTCAGACTAATTCTGGTAGTCATTTAAATAATTCTTTCCTTATAGGCCTGTAATCAAGGCCAATAAATTAGAAATCAGGACAGCTTTTGAAATTTTAAGTAAAAATCAGAAGCTTCTGTTTATTGCTACAAATGCTTCTGCCGAGCTCTGATTTTGTCAGGCTCTCCAATTCCTGGTATAACCAAGGAAATTATTTGCATTGATGTCGCACTGTCACCTCACCACTAAAACACAAAGCTGTCGTAGTAGCAGCCACTCAGTTCCTGAGCTAAGCGAGGTAGACTTTCATCTGCCCGCTATAGAAACAGTGTTTCGTCGTAGAATATTTAGCACTCAACAAACAAGATGGCTACTACATAAATCGGTAAAACCAAAACTGTGATGTTGCTCAAAACCTGCTTACTTTTTTGGATACAGTTCACATCTTTATATAAAGGAATATACTTGAAAAGCAAATCGGAATCAGTAAAATAATTAAAATTAAGAACCACAATGCTATGTGTTAGAATTTGTTTCAAGCCAAATCTATAGAAAGTGTAATATTATTTTAGAATTACCATGTTTACCTCATATCAGACATAAAGATTCTTAGTTTAATTTTATCATTTCTAGTATTAATAACTATCAGGCTAGGTGCAGTGGCTCATGCCCGTAATCCCAGCACTTGGGGAGGCCAAGGTGGGTAGATCACCTGAGGTCAGGAGTTCGAGATCAGCCGAAACATGGTGAAACCCTGTCTCTACTAAAAATACAAAAATTAGCCAAGTGTGGTGGCACCTGTAATCTCAGCTTCTTGGGAGAGGCTGAGATAGGAGAATCGCTTGAACCTGGGAGGTGGAGGTTGCAGTGAGCCGAGAACGTGCCGTTGCACTCCACCCTGGGCAAGAGGAGTGAAACTCCATCTCAAAAAAAAAAAAAGCAAAAAAACTATCAAAGCAACAGGAATGAAAATTAATTATCAACAAAATATCAAACCAGTCAGTTCTCTAATATTGTTCCGAATGATAAAAGAATATGGAAAAAGATAAAAGAAAATTTACTAAATGCCTTTTTGCTTTAATTATGGGAACTACTGAGTCCTTTAGATACTTTTACATTTTGGTTAATTTTTATACTGAGACTTCCTTGAAAGTGGTTAGCTCTACTAGGCAAAGTGGTTTTCATCTTTTGATTATACACACAAGCACACCCTTCGCCCGGTTTACAGTTCAGAGAGCTCCAGTCCTTCAGCAACCACTGTCACTATTTTGACTCAAATTGAAACTTCTGTTTCATCTTTAGAGTTTACTTCCAGAAAGCCTGTTTTGTAATTTCTGACACTAGTTTGAGAACTTACTGGATTAATCTTCACTGGGAATATTGTCTTCATTATAATACCTTAGAATTACATGACCCCTTTTTAGTGACCTTAAAGGATTTCTTTTAAGGAAGAAGGTTGTAAATCACTTGCACAATCATGCAATGAATTTTTCCCCTGTACCCTCTTATATATGTTGTATGAATCTTTTCAGTTGTAATTATTGGATTAAGTAATTGCCAAAGCAAGTGTTTCTGATCAAAGAAAGGTCTTGAAAAATTAGCAATTTTGACTTCTCAGTGATTTTTGACATGCTGTCAAATTAACAACTGTAACTCAAGAAGTCATCTTACCCAGTGAAAGAAAGGAAGCTGTTTACAGAGTAACTCTTATGTTATTGATGTAGTTCAGTATAACCTTTTCTTAGAATTAATATTAAAGTACTGTTGACATTGGTGAAGCATGGGCATTATTATGTTTTGGTGCAGAGCTTCTGCTGTTGTTGAAAATAATAGCAATAACAGTTCACAGGTATGGAGTGAAGGCTGAGTGCGGTGGCTCATGCCCGTAATCCTAGCACTTTGGGTGGCCAAAGCGGATGGATCACCTGAGGTCAGGAGTTCAAGACTTGGCCAACATGGTGAAACCCTGCCTCTACTAAAAAAAAAAGAAAATTAGCCAGGTGTGGTGGCATGCGCCTGTAATCCCAGCTACTCAGGAGGTTGAGGCATGAGAATTGCTTGAACCCAGGAAGTGGAGGTTGCAGTGAGCCAAGATGGCACCACTGTACTCAGGCCTGTGTGACAGAGCAAGACTTTGTCTCAAAAAAAAAAAAAAAGTATGGAGTGTATACCATGCTCTAGACACTGTTCTCAGTACTTTGCATATGTTATGTTATTTAATCTGCAGAACATCTTTCTGAGGTTAATTACCAGAATAACCCATTTTACAAATAACAAAACTGGCACAGCAAGATTAAATGACAGAGCTAGTGTTTAAATCCAGGAATAGACTCTAGATCCCATGTGCTAAACTACATTACTCTGCTGTTTCAGATAATTGTTTGACAGTATCCCCAGGTATGTGTGATAAATTTCAAAAGCCTTTAGAGCTTCACGGAAACCCTGTAAGCCCCAAGAACAAGAGCAGAGGGTCAGTGTCTGCAGCCATGCACAGGTCAGAGAGATATGGAGACTATCTCATCTCTCAGGAATGGAGTGGATGTCTCAGCAGAGACATTACTGTTCTGAAGACAACGGGGCATTAAGCTGGAGTTGTTCCTCAGTGGAGGTGACAGGTTGTTCACTTATAATCCCCTGTCCTGTGGCACAAACTACTGGCTCAAGGTAGGGATTCATTTTTGGCCATTGAAAGAACAAAACTAAGCAGCTTATTAAGGAATGAAAGAGCTACTGATTACCAAAAACGTGATTTAACCTGTTTAGACATAGTGAATGTGGTCAGTTATAATGGTTTGTCATACAAAGTTCATGTTAACCTACAAGGTCAAATGCCTCCTGAGAAAGAGGTGATTTAGATGTGGGAGTAGCCCAGGTTCTAAGACGGTTGGAGGAGTAGGAACTGTGGCAAACTGCACACTCCTTTCTATCCTCTTCATTGTTGATCTCGGCTCATTCCAGCCCTGCTGCCCAGGTTCAAGCAATTCTCCTGCCCCAGCCTCCCAAGTATCTGGGACTACAGGCATGTGCCACCATGACCAAATAATTTTTGTATTTTTTGTAGATACGGTGTTTGACTATGTTGGCCAGGCTGGTCTCGAACTCCTGACCTCAGGTGATCCTCCCGCCTCGATCTCCCAAAGTGCTGGGATTACAGGCATGAGCCGCCACGCCCATGCCCAGCCCATTGTTGTTTTTTTTAACTGAATAAATCCAGACATTTCTGTGGGTTGGATCTGTCCTGAGAACCTGTTAATTAAAAAAAAAAAAATTATTGTAGAAATTTCAAGCAAACGTGAAAGTAGAAAGAAAAATATAGTGAACCGCTATCACCCATATCGCAGTTTGAATACCTTGTTTCTTCTATCCTGCCTCCTTTTTAATTTCCTGAATATTTTGATGCAAGGGAAATGTTGTTTTACCTATAAATACCTCACTATGTATCTCTAACAGATAAGGATTTTTTTTCAATTTTTTTTTTTTTTTTTTTTTGAGACAGGGTCTTGCTCTGTAGACCAGGCCAACGTGCAGTAGAGTGATCATCTAGCTCATTGCAGCCTCAAACTCCTGGACTCAAGGGACCCTCCCACCTCAGCCTCCAGAGTAGCTGGGACTATAGACACACACCACCATGCCAGCTAATTTTTTAAAAATTTTTCCATAAAGACAGAGTCTCACTATGTTGCCCAGGCTTGTCTCAAACTTCTGGCCTCTAGTGAACCTCCCACCTCAGCTTCCCAAAGTCCTGGGATTGCAGGCATGAGCCACTGCACCCAGCCCAGATAAGGATTTTTTAAAAAGATATATTGACGATAGTATTATGACATCTAATTAATTAATATCACCTAATACCCAGTTTGTGTTCAGATTTCCCCATTTGTCTCAAACGTGGGTTTTTTTTAGCACTTGCTTTGTTCAAATCAGGATCCGAACAAGTAAGAATCCGTGAATCTTGAAAGCCTTTCTTTAGAAAATAGGAGAAAAAGTGTTTTTAGTTATTTCATTTAGAATCTGAGCCATTCCGTCTTTTTTTTAAGATGGAGTCTCACTTTGTTGCCCAGGCTGGAGTGCAGTGGTGCAATCTCAGCTCACTGCAACTTCAGCCTTCCAGGTTCAAGCGATTCTCCTGACTCAGCCTCCCAAGTAGCTGGGATTACAGACATGCACCGTCATGCCCGGCTAATTTTTGTATTTTTAGCAGAGATGGGGGTTTCACCATGCTGGCCAAGCTGGTCTTGAACTCCTGACCTCAAGTGATCCACCCACCTTGGCCTGCCAAAGTGCTGGGATTACAGGCATAAGCCACAGCACCCAGCTGCCATCCAGTCTTAATGCTAGTTTTTAATAGAATTCTTAGCACTAGAATGAACAGTTAGAGGCCATCTAACTTAGAAGTTTTTGTTTGTTTGTTTGTTTTTATATTTTTGAGACATGGTCTCACTCGCTCACCCAGGCTGGAGTGTAGTGGTGTGATCTTGGCTCACTGTAGCCTCAGCCTCCCAGGCCCAAGTAATCCTCCCACCTCAGCCTCCAGAGTAGCTGGCATTACAGGTGTACACCACCACACTCAGCTAATTTTTGTATTTTTTGTGGAGACAGAGTTTCACCATGTTCCCCAGGCTGGTCTTAAATTTCTGAGCTGAAGTGATCCGCCCACCATAGCCTCCCAAAGTGCTGAGATTACAGGTGTGTGCCACCACGCCTGGCCTAGCTCAGAAGTTTTTAACAGGTGTTTTTTTTTGTGCCAAAGATTCCTTTGGTGAATTCCGTGGATCCATTCTGTAGAACAGTGTATTTTGCGTAAAATAAAATATACTGTGCTAAAAAGGAAACTGATTATGTGGAACCTGTTATCAAATCTTTAAAAAGTTATGATATAGAGATGTATCTATAATCAGATATATCATTTCTTTAGCAGATACATAGCTTCTTTGTTAACACATTAAATAGTAATATCCAGTAGCATATCTAATAACCACCATAATTTTGAAATAGTGATAAATGTAAATAATATTTTGAGATATGGGCAACACTTACAATTTGATATAAAAATACCTGTGATTTCTATTAGTACCAAAGTTATTACTGCTAAAGCCACTGCAGATTGTTGCCTATATTCATAATAGAAGGAAATGCTAAATTTCAGTTAAAGGTTGTAAAAACAAAGATACACATTTATGTAAAGAAAATGCGTAAAGATACACATTTTCCCATCCAAATTCCCAGATGCCCTGAATCCAAGGACGCTTTCAGGGGCAATGAGGAGAGATGCATGGACCTCAGATTGAGAATCTCTGAAAACTCTTATCATTTACTGAGGTATTGGCTGAGTACCTGGCCCAAGGTCATGCATGATATTAGTGGAAGAATAGGACTAGAAACGAAATTCCTTAAAATTCAATTAAGTATTTTTCATATGTTTGGATGGCTCACTTCTTTTTTTTTTTTTTTTTTTGAGATGGAGTCTCGCTCTGTCACCCAGGCTGGAGTGCAATGGCACGATCTCAGCTCACTGCAGCCTCTGTCTCCTGGGCTCAAGCGATTCTCCTGCCTCAGCCTCCCAAATAGCTGGGATTACAGGCGCACAGCAACACACCTGGCTAATTTTTGTATTTTTGGTAGAGATGGGGTTTCACCATGTTGGTCAGGCTGGTCTCGAAATCCTGACCTCAGGTGATCCACCCACCTCGGCCTCCCAAAGTGCTGGGATTACAGGCATGAGACACCACGCCCGGCCTGGACAGGTAAGTACTTTACAGCAATACATGTCCAGTATTGTACTGTTGGCATCTCAGTACTGGCCTGATGTTTAGCATAAGGAAAATAACAGAAAATAATGCCCTGATTTGAGGTATAATGACTTTTCCATTTGCATATTGTATACTCAGCAACTGCACAGATTCAGCTTTCATGAGTTCATAGAGTACATTTTCCCATCTTTTTTGAGGTATAATTTACATATAGTAAAATTCACCATTTTAAGTGAACACTTAAATTTTGGCAACCACATACAGGCATAGATCTAGCCCCACCATCAAGACAAACAACATTTTCTATTATGTTAAAAAGTGTCCTTGTAAGCCTTTGCAGTTGGTCTCCTCCCCTGACTTCCAGCCCCAGGTAGCCACCGACCACTTTCTGTTTCTCTAGTTGATTCTGTTTTGTTTTCGATTTCTTTTACTTAGCATAACGTTTTTGAGATCCATCCATGGTGTTGTGTGTGTCAATGTTTTGTTCTTATTTATTGCTGAGTAGTATTTCATTTTTTCATTCCATTGTTTATGCATTTACCAGATGCTGAACATTTATTTGTTTCCAAGTTTTAGTTATTAAGAATAATGCTAGGCCAGACTCGGTGGCTCAGGCCTGTAATCCCAGTGCTTTGGGAAGCTGAGGTGGGAGGATTACTTGAGGCCAGGAGTTCAAGACCAGCCTGAGCAACATTGCAAGACCCTTTCTCTACAAAAAAATTTAAAAATTAGCCCAGTGTGGTGACATGCACCTGTAGTCTCAGCTACTCAGAAGGCTGAAGTGGGAGGATTGGTTGAGCTCAGGAGGTCAGGGCTGCAGTAAGCCATGTTCATACCTCTGCACTCCAGCCTGGGTTACAGAGTAAAAAGAAAAAAGAAAGAAAAGAAGCCGGGCGTGGTGGCTCACGCCTGCAATCCCAGCACTTTGGGAGGCTGATGCGGGCAGATCACTTGAGGTCAGGAATTCGAGACCAGCCTAGCCAACATGGTGAAACCCCATCTCTACTAAAAATACAAAAATTAGTCTGGCATGGCAGCAGGCACTTGTAATCCCACCTACTTGGGAGGCTGAGGCAGGAGAAACGCTTGAACCCAGGAGGTGGAGGTTGCTGTGAGCTGAGATCGCACCACTGCACTCCAGCCTGGGCAGCAGAGCGAGACTGTGTCTCAAAAATAAATAATAAATAAATAAAAAGGAAAGGAAAGAAAGAATAGTTCTTCTTGAACGTAATTCAAGTGCAAGTCTTTGTATGGACGTATGTTTTTAATTCTCTTGGGTAAAAACGTAGAAGTGGAAATGCTGGGTCCTATGGTGCACGTATTTTAACTCAGTAATGTACTGCCATACTATTTTCCAAATGACTGTCACTTTTTACATTTTCACTGACAGTGTGTGAGAGTTTAATTTTTCCCCATTCTTTCCAACTCTTGATATTGTCATTCTTTTTAAGTTTAGCCATTATAGGATATATAATAGTACCTTATTGTGGCTTCAATTTGCAATTCCCTAATGACTAGTGATGTTAAACATCTTTTCCTATGCTTATCTGCCATTCGGGTAAGTTAATTTGTGAAGCATCTGCTTAAGTCTTTTTCTTTTTTCTTTTCTTTTTTTTTTTTTTTTGAGACAGGATGTTGCTCTGTCACCCAGGCTGTAGTGCAGTGGCGCCATCAGGCTCATTGCAGCCTCTACCTCCCAGGCTCAAGTGTTCCTCCCACTTCAGCCTCCTGAGCAGCAGGGACTGCAAGCATGCACCGCCATGCCTGGCTAATTTTTTTTTCTTTTTGAGATGGAGTCTCACTCTGTCACCCAGGCTGGAGTGCAGTGGTGCGATCTCGGCTCACTGCAACCTCCATCTCCCAGGTTCAAGCAGTTCTCCTGCCTCAGCCTCCCGAGTAGCTGGGACTACAGGCACACGCCACCACCCCCAGCTAATTTTTGTATTTTTGGTAGAGACAGGGTTTCACCATGTTGGCCAGGATGGTCTCGATCTCTTGTCCTCATGATCCACCCACCTTGGCCTCCCAAAGTGCTAGGATTACAGGCTTCAGCCACTGCACCTGGCCTTTTTTTTTTTTTTTTTTTTTTTTTTTTTTTTCAGACTGAGTCTTGCTCTGTTGCCAGGCTGGAGTGTAGTGGTGCGATCTGGGCTCACAGCAATCTCCACCTCCCAGGTTCAAGCAATTCGCCTGCCTCAGCCTCCCAAGTAGCTGGGACTACAGGCACACGCCACCACACCCAGCTAATTTTTGTATTTTTGGTAGAGACAGAGTTTCACCATGTTGGCCAGGATGGTCTCCATCTCCTGACCTCATAATCCACCCACCTCGGCCTCCCAAAGTGCTGGGATCACAGGTAAGCTACCGCACCTAGCCGGCTAGTTTATTATGTTTTGTAGAGATGAGGTCTTGCTATGCTGCCCAGGCAGTTTTTCTTGTTTTTAATTGGGCTGTTATGTTCTTACTTTTGAGTTGAGTTTTTTATACATTGGGATACAAACCCTTTGTCAGTTCCGTGTTCTGCAAATATTGGTTGAGAATATTTAATTGTGTCTTTCATAGAGCAAAAAATTTTAATTCTGATGAAGTCAATTTTATCATTTTTAAATTTTATGAGCCATGCTTTTTATGTCCTGCTTAAAAAATTCTTGCCTAACCGAGTTCACAAATAATTTTAAAAATGTTTTCTTTTAGAAAGTTTCTAGTTTTAGCTCTAAAATGTAGGTCTGTGTTCCACTTCAAGTTAATTTTGTGTATGGTATAAGGTAAGGGACATGGTTTTTTTTTTCTGTACTAATATCCAGTTTGTTGAAAAGTCTAGTCTTTCCCCATTAAATTACCTTAGCACCTTTCTCAAAAGTCAGTTGACCATATAAGTGTAAATCTACTTCTGAATTCTTTTTTTTTTTTGAGATGGAGTCTCGCTTTTGTCGCCCAGGCTGGAGTGCAGTGGCACGATCTCGGCTCACTGCAACCTCTTCTTCCCGTATTCAAGTAATTCCTCTGCCTCAGCCTCTCAAGTAGCTGGGATTACAGGCACATGCCACCATGCCTGGCTAATTTTTGTATTTTTAGTAGAGACGGGGTTTCACCATTGCCAGGATGATCTCAATCTCCTTACCTCATGATCCACCCGCCTCGGCCTCCCAAAGTGCTGAGATTACAGGCGTGAGCCACCACACCCAGCCTTCTGAATTCTTACTCTGTTCCATTGATCTGTGTGTCTGTGCTTTCCCTTTAAGTAGGTCTTGAAATCGTGTAGTATAAGTTTTTTAACTTTGTATTTCTTTTCTTTTTTTTTTTTTTTTTTTTGACATGGAGTCTTGCTCTATCATCCAGGTTGGAGTGCAGTGGCACAATCTTGGTTCACTGCAACCTCTGCCTCCCGGGTTCAGGTGATTCTCCTGCGTTAGCCTCCTGAGTAGCTGGGATTACAGGTGCCTACCACCACGCCCGGCTAATTTTTGTATTTTTAGTAGAGACAGGGTTTTGCCGTGTTAGCCAGGCTAGTCTTGAACTCCTAACCTCAGGTGATCCACCCACCTCGGCCTCCCAAAGTGCTGGAATTACAGGCGTGAGGCAGCGCATCCAGCCAACTTTGTATTTCTGTATTCAAAATCATTTAGTCTTTTACATCCTTTGCCTTTCCCTGTGCGTTCTAGAATCAGCTTGTCAGTTTCTTCACAAAAAGCATGATTGGGATTGCATTGAATCTACTGTACCTCAATTTGAGGAGAATTGCCATCTTGGAAATAATTGCATTTTCCCTTTCATGAACATGGTATATGTTTTCATTTATTTCAATCTTTCATTTCCCATAGCAATGTTTTGTAGTTTTCAATATACAAGTCTTGCACATCTTTTGTTAAATTAATTTCTAAGTATATTTTTAAGCTATCGTGAATGAAGTTTTCAAAATTTTTCATTTTCTTTCTTTTTTTTTTTTTTTTTTGAGATGACGTCTCACTCTATTACCCAGGCTGGAGTGCAGTGGCACAATCTTGGCTCACTTCAACCTCCACCTCCTAGATTCAAGCGATTCTCCTGCCTCAGCCTCCCAAATACCTGGTATTACAGGCACACACCACCATACCCAGCCAATTTTTGTATTTTTAGTAGAGACAGGGTTTCACCATAATGGTCAGACTGGTCTCAAACTCCTGACCTCAAGTGATCCACCCACCTCAGTCTCTTAAAGTGCTGGGATTACGGGCATGAGCCACTGCACCCAGACTAAAAATTTTCATTTTCAAATTGCTAATTGTTAATATATAGAAATATAATTGATTTTGTGTATTGACCTTTAGTAAATTACTTAGAATTTTTTTTTTTTTTTTGAGGCGGAGTCTTGCTCTGTCGCCCAGGCTGGAGTGCAGTGGCACGAGGATCTTGGCTTACTGCAAGCTCCACCTCCCGGGTTCATGGCATTCTCCTGCCTCAGCCTCCCGAGTAGCTGGGACTACAGGCGCCCGCCACCACACCCGGTTAATTTTTTTTTTGTATTTTTAGTAGAGACAGTGTTTCATTTCACCCTGTTAGCCAGGATGGTGTCGATCTCCTGATCTTATGATCTGCCCACCTTGGCCTCCCAAAGTGCTGGGATTACAGGCGTGAGCCACCGCGCCCGGCCAATTACTTAGAATTTTTATGTATATGATCATGTCATCTGCAGATGACAGTTTTACTTTTTCCTTTCCAGTGTGAGTTTTGTCCTTCCTTCCTTCTTCCCTTCCTTTCTCTCCCCTCCCCTCTCCTCCTTTCCCCTCCCCTCCCCTCCCCTTCCCTTCCCTCCCTTCCAGTGGCCTCCAGACCTGACCTATGCAATACTTTATTCATTTATATATTGATTTATCCCTTCGGTCATCATGTATTTGAGGACCTGCTTTGGTTCCGGTACTGTCAAGACTCAGGGATACCAGAATGAATGATACCTTGTCTGAAATAGCTCACAATCTAGTGGGGAAAATGAACATATGAAAATAACAAAGAAATATTACTTAAAGTGCATTTCTAGGCATACACCAGATGTTACGAGAATACAGTGAAGCGTCACCCAACACAGTAAGGGAGGAGGGCCATAAGATCATTCCAAGCTGAGAGCCTGGTGTAAACAAAGGCACAGAGGGAAGAAATCTTAGAGTGGAGGTGAGGAACTGAAAGTGGTTTCCAGTCTCCTAAATGTTTAGAGGATCCCAAGAAGTAGTAAGAGATTAAGCTAAAGAGGCAGTCAGAGGGCAGAACACAGATATAACGTTGCCTAGGAGGCTGACAAATGTGACTTTATCCTAAGGATAGCAAGGAGTTATTGAAGAGTGCTCAGTAGAAAAGTGGCATATATTTGCTTTTATAAGAATACACTTTTCAGGTATTATGTAAAAGATGATTTGGGATGGAGACCAGGGACCTAAAAAGACAGTCCAGGCAAAAGATTAGACCTGAACTAGAGGAGTCATAGTAGGGATAGAGGGGAAGAAAAATGTTTAAGAAACATATTGGAAGTAGAACTGGAAAAACTGTGATTGATCCCAAGTAGAAGATGAGGGACAGAGAAGAAATAGGATGATTCCCAGGTTTCTTTTTTAGGCATCTAGGTAGCTGATGATGCCATCATCTTAGGCAAGGTTTACTTTAGGAGGAACAGAGTTGGAGATGTTGAGCTCCGTTAGGGATATAATGAGTTTTAGGAGCCTGTGGACATCCAGTTAAAGAATAAATGAGAGAACATTCACATAGAACAAAGGTGTGGTGGAGGCTCTCACCAGCTTAACCTAGAGTCCATTCCAACCTGCAAACTGCTGGTTGTCCCCAGTCCAGATGATGCTGAACTCTTTGGCCTGGCTGAACTCTTTTGTCCAGTCACATGTCACACTGGACAGGAAGTGGCTTGGAACTCGAAACCTTGTTGATACACTTTTCCTCCCAAAGAGGTGATCCAAATTCCTGAGATGGCCCGACCTAGGATGTACTGAAAGAGGCTTTGGGCAGTAACTTCTAAACTGAGAATGACTTGTGGCTAAACTTGAACCCTTGCCTTCCAGTAGATGAAAGGTGAAGCAATTTATCTCTCGAAAGAAAAAATATGGTATGATTCCACTTATTTGAGGTAACAGCAAGACACTGTCTCAAAAAAAAAAAAAAAAGAAGAAAAGAAAGGAAGGAGAGGAGGAGAGGGGAGGGGATTATTATTATTAATAATAATACCATTGTTATGCATAAATAATATAATTTATTGAGTATTCACTATATGCAAAGTACTGTGCTAAATACTTTACAATAATTCCATATAATTCTCTCAACAGCCCTGTGAGGTTGGGCTACTTATTATCCCCATTTTACAAAAAGCACCTCCAGATAGTGTAACTTGCCAGAAGTCCCATAGCTAGTAGCTGAAGGACAGAGCATTTGAACCAAGACCATCTGATTCCAGATCTCTTGTTCCTAGCAGTTTACTAAAGCTTCCCAATCCATGTGCTGGGGCACACTGATGGGTTAGGGATAGGTTACAGATAGGCTACTGACCTCTTCAGTCCTTGGGGGAGCCGCAGCCCACAGTGAGTGACCTCTGCCAGCCTTACCCATTTTCCTCGAGTGCCATAAAATAGTACCATTTTCTGGGTAAGTGCCATGATTTGAAAGGAGTTGGGGAGCACAGTACAACTGTACTGTCTCTTCTGTAACATCTACCAGACCCTACACATGTCTATGGTCAGAATTCCAACCTCAGAGCACGTGGTGGGTAGGGATCCTAATTTCTAGTTACTTTCTGCAAATGAGGTGCTACGGGGCTCCCCAGTGTTACCTCTGATGCTCCCAACTGTGGAACTTTCTCTTTGTACTATGAGTCTTTTGAACTCTCCCAGTGTTGAAAAGGTGGATTAACAATTCCCCCGTCTCCAGGGAAACCACAGTACCTGCCAGTAATGAGAAACTTTGCATACAGGCAAGCCTAGTGAAGATAATTGCCAAAAGGAATCCGTCAGTGTGATTGAGGCCAGAGAACTAGCAATTACATTCAAATTTTTAAATGCCAACCACCCATCAATTTTTGCTCTAAACCATTGTCTCGTTTCAGCTTTGTTTTCCAATAAAGATACAAGTTTAGTTCCATACTAGTCTTTCCAGCTAGGCTTTCAGGTTAAACATGGAATCTTATCTAGTTTATAGGACTTAACATTTGTAGAGATGGGGTTTGCCTTTTTTATACTCCCAGGTAAGAGCTGAATGTAAGCATGTTCTTTATGCCAGATACCATACTGGATACTAAAGATATAGGACTGAATGGGACATTCCTTTTCTAGAGGAACTCACAGTCTTATATACACAGATTCCCTGTATTGAAAAAAGAAAAAAAACTCTTTGGCTAAGCTAATATTTCTCATTTTTTATTTGGCTATATGCTTGGAAACCTCATCTGTATTATAAACTGTCTCCTATGTCAGGCAAATTAAAAAGAATTTGCAAAGTTTATCCTTGAGCTTTTGTTTGATTGAGACCTCAGAAATGAATTGTGGTCGCAACAAAAGCATCTCCAAATGGCATAGTCTTTGTTTTATGTTGGAAGAATGGAGTGGGCCAAAACCGTCAGTTCATACTGTTCCACCACAACCAGTCAATGAGAAGGTAGAGCCCATTTGGATGGGATGGTGCTTGAACACTGTATTTACAAGAAGATGAAAACATGCTGAGTTGGCCTCTAACCAAGGGGACAAAATACTTCAAAAGACCCATTTTTCTGGGAGGTGAACAGCCCAAGATTGCAGACTCAGTGGACTCCACAGAGAGTAAACACAAAGACTTTACATGCTAACGTTCAAAGACAGTTTACCCCAACATCATTCATTGTTTTCATTATTCCAGAGGTCATGGGGGCTTCAGAAAACCAACACAATCTGAAAGAATTGCTTCTTGATTTCAGCTTTTCAAGTTTGATTGTTTTAACAACTAGAAAGTCATTTGAAACAACCCAGACTTAACTTTGCTACTCAGAGATAGCATTAGTTTTTCAATCCACATTTGACCCAAGGGTGTACTGACCAGTGGGCACAGGGAAGGAGTGGGAGTAAGGACTGTGGCTTCTAATTCTGGTCTTGTTTTGCCCTATAAAGTGTGTTAGATCAGCCTCAGTCTCCCTATATAAGACACAATTAGGCCGGGCGCGGTGGCTCATGTCTGTAATCCCAGCACTTTGGGAGGCCGAGGCGGAGGATCACCTGAGGTCAGGAGTTCAAGACCAGCCTGGCCAACATGGCAAAACCCCGTCTCTACAAAAATTAGCTGGGCATGGTGGCGCACGCCTGTAATCCCAGCTACTCAGGCAGCTGAGGCAGGAGAATCACTTGAACACGGGAGGTGGAGGTTGTAGTGAGCTGAGATCAGGCCATTGCACTCCAGCCTAGGTGACAGAGCGAGACTCTGTCTCAAAATAAATAAATAAATAGGACACAATTAAATCAATTGGTGTTCTTAAACAAAATGGCCTAAGGGTCAGAAAACTGAAAAGCGGGTAGCTGCTCCAGTAGTCCCCTCTCCATGACTCCTGGGTATTGCCAGCTTTGGGGGATGGGAAAGAGGTAGGGCTTGACCAGAATTCTCCAGCATGTACAGTCCTATTCATACACATGCATGCACATATGTGCACACACACACACGACACACGTACACTCTAGTGATAACACTCAGCTAACTTCCCTACTCTTGGAACTAAGCCTTTGAGAAAAACAAAAAGTAGTTGCCCCTCCCCACCCCACATACAAAACATAGGGACTCTCTCTAAGAATGTACCTTTAACAATTTTTTAATTTTATTGTTTGAATCTGCAATATATTCACCTAATTTTTTAAATACACAATAGGCAAAGTCCCATCCCCACCTGTTCCCAGTCTGGCTTGTTCTTCTCGTCACTTGTGTTAGTTTTTTTAATTAGGCCTTTCAGAGTTTCTTTATGTAAATAAAATAAATATAAGTACATATTCTTAGTTTTCTTCTTTTTTTTTTTGAGATGGGGACTCACTATGTTGCCCAGGCTGGAGAGCAATGGCACTATCTTGGCCCACTGCAACCTCCACCTCCTGGATTCAAGTGATTCTCATGCCTCAGCCTCCCAAGTAACTGGGATTACAGGCACACACCACCACGCTCGGCTAAGTTTTTTGTATTTTTAGTAGAGACGAGGTTTCGCCATGTTGGCCAGGCTGGCCTTAAACACCTGACCTCAGATTATCTGCTTGCCTGGACCTCCCAAAGTGTTGGGATTACAAGCATGAGCCACCGTACCCAGCCACCTTTCTTCTTTCTGACTTGAAAAGTAGCATATTACATACCTTATCTGCACCTGCAGCAAGTGCTTTTGATATTTTATTGCCATGGATGTGCAGTTCTTAACCTCCCCTCCATCTTGGTCACTGAGTTAATTCAAAGGCTCAGCACCTGCAGCTTTGCAGCTCTTCTTCATTCATAAATGTAAGTGGATTGATAGTATCCTCTGTCATTCCCAAAGTGTTATTAGAAATGTCTCTTCATTGTTAGTGATAAGATCTTATAGTATTTCAAAGTACTTTCCCATTTATCATCTTATTTAATTTGATCTTCCCCAAGCCCCATGAAGTTGGTAGGACAGGTATTGTCCTTGTTTTTAAGGTAAGGAAACCAAGGGTAAAAGGTTGGCATTGTCACACGCCTGGGTCTAAGGACTGTCCTCTGTACCTGATGCCACTTTATTTCTGTTTTCCAAAAACAAAGGAGGAACTGCCTTCCATAGTTTTGTTAATACTTCTCCATATTTACCATATAAGTCTTTCATGGTTGTTAAAACTTTTTATTTTGGGATAATTGTGGATTCACATGTAGGTGTAAGAAATAGTACAAAAGGCTGGGTGCAGTGGCTCACGCCTGTAATCCCAGCATTTTGGGAGGCCAAGGCGTGTGGATCAGCTGAGATCAGGAATTCGAGACCAGCCTGATCAACATGGTGAAAGCCCATTTCTACTAAAAATACAAAAATTAGCTGGGTGTGGTGACAGGCACCTGTAATCCCAGCTACGTGGGAGGCTAAGGCAGGAGAATTGCTTGAACCTGGGAGGCGGAGGTTGCAGTGAGCCTAGATTGTGCCACTGCACTCCAGCCTGGGTGACAAGAGTGAAACTCTGTCTCCAAAAAAGAAGGAAAGAAAGAAAGAAAGAATACAAAGATCCTATGTACCCTTCACCCACTTTCTCCCAGTGGTATCATCTTGAACAACTGTAGTACAATATCAACAACCAGGATAGGATACTGACATTGACACAATCAAGAGGCAGAACAACTCCACTAGGAGGATCCCTCCTGGTGCTTTTATCTCCACAAGTCCCTCACTCCCCCATAAATGCAGGAGGCAGAGCCCACCCCCAGGCCCAGCTGTTGCTTCATTTACACTGACTAGACACACACACACATACACACACACACACACACACACACACACTTTTAATGTATTTTGAAATGGTGGTTTTATCAGGAAAGTCTAACACCTATAACAAGCAACCCCCAGTCTCTGTGGCTAACACAGTAACGTTTTATTTCCTGTGCTGTCAATTCAGTGGTGGTCATTATGGATGAAAGGAGGACTCTGCTTCTTGCAGAAGTTCTGGGACCAGCTTCTCTGTCTAATGGCTCCACCATTCCCTATGGCCTCAGCATCCTCCACTGCACCCTCTTCTTCAGGCCAGCATGGCAGGGGCCATAGGGGTCAGGCCCAGAAGTGGCATTTATCTCTCCAACACACAGAATTTAGTCATTTGGCTCCACCTCACTGCAGGAAGGCTGGGAAATTTGTTTGGGTATGCCTAGGAGAAAAAGGAAAAATTGTTGATGAGCACATGTTCAAGAATAATCATGGCAGTATCTCTAGTTGTAGTTGAAACTAGAAGAAACCCAAAAACCCAAATGTTCACTGACAGAGGAATGGATAAATAGTGTCAAATTTACATTATTATACAACTGTGAAAATGACAAACTGTATCTATACACAATAAAGACGAAATCTTAGAACCCTAATATTGACTGAAAAAAGCAAGTTCCAGGAGACACACGATAGAATTTTTATATAAAGAGCTCAAAAACAAGCAAAACCAGACAATCTGTCCATTTATTTATTAGGGATATAGAAATCTGCATTAAAGCCATGTTTCTAAAAAAGTGAAGGTGTCCTGGCCGCAGTGGCACATGCCTATAGTCCCAGCTACTTGGGGAGGCTGAGACAAGAGGATACGTTGAGCCTAGAAATTGAGTCTAGCCTATCAAGACTCAGTCTCTAAAAAACAACAAACAAAAATGAAGGAGTGATAAACAGGCATTTTAGGACAGTGATTATCTCTGGAGAGAGAGGCAGGGAGACAATGGAGAGAGAGGGATGGCAAGGTCGCTTCAGCTTGTGGCTCATGTCTTTGTTCTGAGAGGGAGCATAGATTCAGTCATGTTCTGTTTTTCTGCTGTGTTTCAGACCTTAAGTGTGTATTACAAGTATTCTTTGGTATGTGTCACATATTGCATAATTTTTAAAAGAATGAACCAAAACATTATAATTAGTAGTAATAAAGATAAGTCTTTATTAGTTCTAAGAATGTGACAAGGAACAGATCTATTGCTTGAGAAGGTAATTCTGATAAACTGGTTTTCCTAATGCTGTGGAGTTGACCCACACTGGGGTGGCTCTACCCAAGATCACAAATGCCGGCCCCCGTTGTTTGGATCAGCCCTCGTGCCCTGGTCTTGATCTTTTCTGGTCCTCCTGCAGTTTCCTTTAATTGCCTTGAAGTTTCCAAAAGTTCGTTACACTCATCCATTGACTCAATCATCTTCAGAATCCTAGTATGAAGTCTTGAGGTCCACTGTAGAGATTATTTGTCTGCGGAGAAATCCTACAAAGCTGTTATTGTGATCCTTGCCAATGAAAGGCAAGTTTTACATATCTAAATTTACTAAACACTATCCCTTTAAAAGTATCTCATACCTACAAAGATATAACCAAATCTAACATTTCAGCAAACAAAAGCTGAGGCTTGTAACCAACAGAAGTAATTGCTATACAGTTATCACGAGAAGTACATGCCCAGCTTCCAGGGTAACCACATTACTTAATAAACATATCAAATCTCTTTTATCTTAAAAGACCCAAAGAAACCACCCCAGTAATGGTTGCCAGCCCTGATCCATCCCTTATCTGTTGCTGGCAAACTGTCTGTAAATAGTCAATCCAGAACACTCCTCTAGGTTGTTTTTTCTTGCTCTCTCCCTTCCCCCTTCTCCTCTCCATCTTGGAAGTATTCGCCTTTGCAGTCTCCACCCTCTGTAGAGACTCTGTGCTCTCTGCACCCGGAATGAGTCAGCATGTGGATACATACCTGCATTTCTAGGGAAATGGACTGGGGTTATCAGAAAACTCAATCTGTCCAACCATGGATAAAAATCAAGACATTTTATTGCAACCCAGATAGTTAGCTCAGCAGCTGCACTCTGGAACATACAGTACAACTCCTTTGGGAAATACCTAGTTGGGAGTGACTTTCGGTCTCTTGGGTAAAATGTTCCCTTCTCATACAGCAAACCTTTTGTAAAAGGGAAACAGACTCCATCCAAACTGGGTGGTAACTGGAGATAAAGGCAGGCCACTCCTGTTTGAATGTTTGTCATTTTGATGAGGATTTTGTTTAACAAGGTTTCTACCTTATCTGTCTTCTTTCAGATTTACAGCTCCAGAGCCCATAAAAGGGAGGCCACAGATGTGAACATGGGCTGTGGAAAGATTAGAAACAAACTGAGGCTATTCAATAGAAATAATCTTGAGATATTTTGGATTTTTTCTTGTCATTTTTTTTTTTTTACATTGACAATGACATCAGGAGCTCTAATAGTATTTGACTGATAGTACTTAGTAGTACTTGGCCAACTATACATATTAGGAAAATGCTGGAAGGCATATTGTCTTGACATTATTTATAGCCTGTGTTCTATTTCCTTTACTCTATGCTGAGAAACAGGGTTAAGCCTATTATTATAATTTTATTAGAAATTATTTTATTGAACACCTGTTGGGCCAAACACTGTATCAGGTACTTGAATAAGATATGGTCCCTCCCTCATGAAATTTTTTTTTTAAGAGACAGGGTCTTGCTCTTTGACACAGGTTGGAGTATAGTGGTGCAATCATAGCTCACTGCTGCCTCAAACTCCTAGACTCAAGCCATCCTCCTGCCTCAGTCTCCTGAGTAGCTGTGGTTACAGGCACGTCCCAGCACACCTAGCTGATTTTTTATTTTTTGTAGAGACAGGGTTTTGCTTTGTTGCCCAGACTGGTCTCAAACTCCTGGCTTCAAGCATTCATCCTGCCACAGCCTCCCAAAGTGCTGGGATTACAGGCATGAGCCACTTTGCCTGGCCCCTCATGAAACTTAAAATTAAATTATCTCTTTAAAAAGGAGCAGGCCTAGGAACAAGCTCTTTAAGTAGTGGTGTCTGGCACCTATGTGCACACTCTGTGTGGTCTTTATGTTTTGGAGAGAGTTATGGCTGCTGCTGCTATTGGTCGTGTATTTGACTGTACCTGAACCACATACCACCTTCGTCTTTCCTGAACCAAGAGTCGACCTGCTGTTCACCCAGATGGCATGACTATTCCTTCAGTCTGTTGCTATCTTCTGCTGTTTCTACAGAAGAGCCTCAGCCCTGAATCCAGATCACACTAATAGTTGTTATTTATGAAACACTGCAACATAAAAGTCATGATTGCCGTTCTATAGCAGAGAGGTTTAGTGACTTGCCTAAGATCCCACAGGTGGTAAATGCAGAACCAAATTTAAACCAGTTCTCAAATGTCCAAATTCAAATGCAGCTCTTTCTCTTCTGCCTTGCTTTATCTTACTCACACAGTGATGTAATGCTAGTGTTTCTTGATCCTTATACTGATATGATCTTGCCCTCTTCCCTGGGATTCAGGAGGCAGGTCTACATGAGATGCAGGCACACCGAGTTAATGTGTACAGAATATGTTCCAGAGCCTTGGAGAAACAAAAGGCTATAGCGTGTCTTATTTGGTTCTTCCCAGTTTGGAAGATAGCTGTCCATAAGCACATAGCTAGCTCTCAGTGGGATGTCTAAGGTGTTTGGCAGTGTTTGAGATAAAAGGAGGCAGCTGCTTCACATATATGGACGTCTTCAGAAGCACACAGGTGTAAGGTCTTAGGATTTTCACCCAGCATCCCAAATAGAGGAGATTTTTGTAAATGCAAGGTGGTCGAGTGTGTTTGATTTGATTAGGCCTCAGGCTGGACAAGAGCCACTACCTCCCACCCAGGCAACTTCCTGCTGCACCCTGGATTTGTTCCTTCAAGGATTCCCCAGCCAGTCAGTGAACCAACATGATTTCCTCTCCTCGTGGCCTGGGCCCTCACAGGGACAGCTGTGCTTCCAATTCCAGTGACATGACTCTGTCACAGTCTTCAAATAATTTCTAGTTTTCTTTTTCAAAGAAAGAAATTTTGAGAGCTCTGTCCACACATTGTAAAGGAAACAACCCTCTTAAATATCCATGCCCTTTACAGTGAATATTCCATTGACATATTAAACCAGAGGCAGTCTCATGATTTTGAAAAGGATTTTGGATAAATATAGAAGGCATGTATCACCCCAAATCCATCCTTTATGGAGTCATTACTTAAAAGGGAAAGGGCCAACCAGGCAGGTTAACAATATGGTACAATACAGAAAGACTCTGCTTATCAGTTTCAAAATTGTACATTTAAAACAAGTTCTCAAGTTTCAGTTTCATTTTATGTATGCATTTATGCTCAAGCTTGGTAATTACCCTCAGCTCATGACATTTATACCAATCAGTAATGTTTAATTATCCCAGATGATTACTCCGTCAGTTCTAGGCACATGGTGGAATGTAGAGGTGGTTCCTACCTTCAAGAGCATTAACTTTCAGTTGGCATGTGTGGAGAGATGTGGTAGATACAAATACATTTTGGAAGGGGAGGGGAAGGAGAGTTATGTTGGCTGGTAGAGAATTGGGAGAATTCTTTTGGGAAAGCATCCAAGAGGAGGTGGTTTTAAGATTCCACTTTGGAGGCTGGGAATGATGAAGAGGAGACAAAAGATTCCTTCTGGGATTTAGACCAGCTTACTGTTCAAAAAGCAACAATGAAGGTCTGTGACCATAATATGTTCAGAACTTCAATTCAAAGGACAAATAGAAATCAAACACTTATCCATGAAAAAGTTGTAAAAACTAAATTAAATATCAAGTTTTTTGTTTTAGGTTTAGAAATGTGGTTGCTGGGTGTAATAATTTGGACATGTCATGGGAAAATGATCCTTTAGGCAAAATCCTTTAAAACTTGTAGCTTTGAGGAGGAAAGTGGAGTAGTGATGGAACCCCACATAACAAAAGGGACAGCCTGTTGCTTAGGCAAAGGCTGCAAGATAAGAGGAACGCGAACTGGCTCAACTCAAGGATTCAGACCTTGGTGTAATTCAGAACAGTCAAATGAAGGTGACTTCAGACTTCTGTGAAGCTCACTTTTGCTCCAAAGAGTGGTGGGAGCATAGCAGAAAGTCAAGAATTGGACAGAACTTTTTCAGTTTGACTGAAGACTCAGCGGGGCTCCACGTAAACCAACAGTTATTGAGCCTGTCCCATCCCAGAGGTACAGGATAATGCAAGATGGTCCCTGCTGTCAAGCTGCTCATTGCCTGGCAGGGAAGTTTCTGAGACCAAGAAAGCCCACAGTGGGATAGGGACTTCCGAGGGTTCTGTGGGAATCAGAAGGGAGCACCTCCCTCTGCGTGAGGGAGCTGGGGAAGGCTTGACAGAGAGGCCATTGAACTGGGGACTGACGTGGCTGGGACGACATGTGGAGGGATACAGGTTTGGGAAATGGAGAGGCTGGGATCTGTCTCACTGGAGGAGGGCAAGTGCAGGAAGTCATCCATGGCCACACTGCTTGCAGCCAGTCTTCTGGAATGCCGTGGAACTTTCTTACTCTGGCTGTGAAGGGTAAAAATAAGAGCTAGCACAGGCACATGGAGCTGATACGACGTCCCTGTTTAGGGCACAGTTCTTACCCAATTCCACGGACCGAACATTTTCTGCTCCATCCAGCTTTTAATGGCAGACCAGTTTCTATGAACTGAGGCTTCAGCCCTTGGAATGATGTCTCATTTGCCCGTCTCTTTTCTCCTTCTTAACCACTTAGGTACCACATTGTACAGTGCAGTGGGTGCAGTGGTTCATGCCCTGACTACGTCAGAACCCCTGAGAGCCTTGGCAGATTCTGAGGACTGAGCACCTCCTGCCTTTCTTCTCTTCTCTCCTCTCCCTGTTCCACTGTTCAATCTGAAAGGGGTTAGGGAGGATTGGTTGCTGAACTTGTGTGGTTTTAATAAAATAGCTTCAGGCCAGGCCCAGTGGCTCACGCCTCTAATCCCAGCACTTTGGGAGGCCGAGGTGGGAGGATCACTTGAGGTCAGGAGTTCGAGACCAGCCTGGCCAACATAGTGAAACCCCGTGTCTACTAAAAATACAAAAATTAGCTGCATGTAGTGGCATGGACTTGTAGTCCCAGCTTCTTGGGAGGATGAGGTACGAGAATTGCTTGAACCTGGGAGGCAGAGGTTGCAGTGAGCCGAGATTATACCACTGCACTCCAGCCTGGGCAACAGAGCAAGACTGTCTCCAAAAAAAATAAAAAATAAAACAGCTTCATGGGTAAATCTGATACCCAGCAAGTGTGGAGGCTACACAGGCAGTCAAAGGAGCACCCATCTTAGTCAGGAAACTGGGTTAACTTCTCAGCCTCACCACGCAGTGGCTCCGAGATTCAGCTTCCTCGTCTGTGAAATGAGATTGACACTTACCCTGCCTAGCTCATGGAGGTTTGTGAGGATTAAATCACATGAAAGCAAAGGGGAAGGCGTCATGTGCTATAGAAATGCAAGGTGTTACTCATTCCTGTGTTTGCCACTCCCGTGCCTTCACCCTTGCTTATAACCTGTCACCTCCAGGACTAGCTCACTGGCCAGCTGGTTTGTCTGTGGCTCTTGGGCCTTGCCACCACATTAATCATTTCAAGACACCACCTTTATCTGGCGGCCTTCCCCAGTAGACAGGCTCACCTTCCCCATCCAGCTTTCTCTCCCACTCAGCCTTGGCCTCTTTGTTGACCCTTCTTGCTTTTTCTCCTTGACCTCCTCATCTTTCTTGCACCATTTCTTAAAAGCTGTCTTCAGCTTCACTGTCTAACCGAGCACTCCCACCTGAATAACACTTGATCCAAATAACGTAATTATGAGATCTGTTATCTTGAATGGTTCCTTAATTGTCATATGTATTTGCTTCATTATTCTGCTTAATTTGCTTACTGAGGTCCAGGACTAAATCTAAACCATGTTTTGTTTTGTTTTTTGAGACAGAATCTCATTCTGTTGTCAGGACCAGAATGCAGTGGTGCGATCTTGGCTCACTGCAGCCTTAACCTCCTAGACTCAGGCAATCCTCCCACCTCAACCCCCTATGCCAGTAGCTGGGACTACAGGTGCACCCACCATGCCCAGCTAATTTTTTGTGTTTTTAGTAGAGACAGGGTTTTGCCATGTTGCCCAGGCTTCTAAACCATGTTTTAACTCTTTGTTATGCACAGCGCCTGGCCCGGTGTTAGGCACTAGACAAGAGCTCAGTAACCACTTGCTGAAATGGGAGAGCTGAGTGGTCAGAGCACCTTGAAGTCTGTGTAGCACTTGCATGTACAGTGTCCCTTTTCATCGTCACAGCCCTGAGAGGTAAATGGTGTGACTCTTCCCATTTTGCAAATGAGAAAAGAGAAACTTAGGAGAGGTTATGTAACATCAACTTTGTGGGCTGAGGCTGAGTGAAGACCTCGCAGAAGAGACCAGACCCAGCATGCTCCAGTAGCTCCACTGCAGGGGGTGGCTGCTTACGAGGACAGAGAGCAGAATTCAGACGACTCCAGCTGACCTACTTGGTGCAAGTCAAGTGAATACTAGTCGGGAGGGATTAGATGACTCAGCCTCTGCCTTCGTTGGAGTCAGGAAGTAGGCTTTGCAGTCCATTTCCTGGGGAATTTTCAGATGGACCAGTGATTTCATTTTCCTCTTCTAAAGCACCCCCATGCACAGGGAAAGGTTGTTCACGTGGCCATTTGGATGAAGCCAACGGATCTGATGTCTTAAAGGAGAAGCTGAAACAGCAGTGGAAACTTTCTAGGCCTGTTGGTATTAGTAATTTCATTCCTGGCCAAACATGAATGAGAAATCCTTCTAGTCCACTTTGACTGAGGCTAGAGTGTGGATTAACAGTGCTTTGATATTTCAGTATTGCTGCCCAGGTTGTGAAGGTATAAGCCTCATGCAGGTCACCTGCTCTTGCCTCCATTGTACCTATTGCCTAACTGGGATAGGCCTGGGGTGGGGCTGCTGAGAGCTGACAATGCCAGGCCAGGAAAGGCAAGCTAAAGACCAGCAGGCAGGCCTCGGGGTTGGAAAGCTACACAGTAAACGGGTGGAGTACCAAAGCTTAGTTGTGTGTCTAGAGAATTCAGGGTGTGGTGAGTGATCAGCTCCTGGAAGAGCAAAGATTAGTATTTAATACATATGCATTTATTAGCGTGGCTGGGTCTCTCGTCAAAAATGTCATAATTTCACAGATCAGGATTTTAAAGCAAATAGAATTATTGATATATATCTCTTCCAACAGCCAATAAACATCCCGCAGAGAGGACAGCTTACGCATGGGCTCACACAAAGAAAATTGCAGAGTCTTTGCTTAAGCTACAGCCTGAAATATTAAAATTCTGATTTTCATGCGCTGTTAGAAATAGTTTTCAAAGAATTCCTTCCTCCAGCCCCATCACAACCCCTGCCCATGTGAGAGGTTAGGAGTAAATCATATGTTTTTTAAAACATTTGCTGAAACCTCCTCCCTTTTCCAAGTCTACCAAATTTTTATCTCAAAAAAAAAAAAAAGAAAGAAAGAAAAAAATGGGACTAATATGACAACAAGATTTTTACCTTCACAGTAAATAGTACAATTTAGCTGAGTAACTTGTGGAAGCTTGTTAGGTTGAAGTGACTCACTTGCGTAGATGAAGTTATTTTTAGAGATGTAATTTGTACTGTTTAGAAAAGAATAAAGAGATGGTAAAAGGCTAGATCGCTCATTATAGTTTACAGAGCTCATGAACCCAGCATCCATGCAAAAGATGACTAAGCAAGGGGTCGGTTGGTACTTTCTCTCAGAATTTTACAGATGTGAGTCATCCACTTTAGTCTGCAGACACAGCACCGAGATACCTGTGACTCAGCTCTCATTTAGAAAAAGCCCTAGAATTCAATTCTGATACACTTTTATAGTTAAGTAGTGAGGAAATTACATACTGAAGCAAAATATGCCTTTGTAACGCGCAGCCGTGGGATGTTTTTAGCAAAGACTGATTTATCTTCATCTCTGGCCTTTGAAAGAATCGACCTGTGATCCACGCTGGGTAACGTGCCCATTGAGCCTGCTGGTACACATCACAGTGCCCACCTTCTTCGTGTTTGGCTCACAACCCAAGTACTAAATTGTCCTCAATAGAAATCTCAGCCTCACCCTTTCTACACTTGGATGCCCCAGCACTAAGGCCCACTTCCTTTAACCAAATACATGTACATATATGTGTTCGTATATATGAAAATCTTCTGCCTAAAATATTAAAATTCTAGTTTTCATAAGCTGGCAGAAATAGCTTGCAAAGGCTTCATCTCCTTCACTCTTTACGTATGTTAGGGGTTAGAAGGAATAAAATCATGTTTTCCTACAGTATTCTCATATTTTTAGTAAACCCTGCACAAAACATACATACAGATGATGAGCATTATCTTTACACATTAGCAGACGGCAGAGTGAGCCCATGTTCTCTGTGCAGGGCCATTGCTTTGTTCTGAGGCGCAGGGCTCTGCTGGCCTAGTGACCCTCCCCGTGCAGCCTCATGCTTGGCTATCTCCCTCGTCACTGACACACACTGATGACATAGCCTGTTTGGAGTTAAGCCTCAGAACGTAACCTGTCCATTTATTCATTTATTTTTAGACAGAGTCTGGCTCCATCGCCCAGGCTGGAGTGCAGTGGGGCGACCTCGGCTCACTGCAACCTCTGCCTCCTGGGTTCAAGCGATTCTCCTGCCTCAGCTTCCCGAGTAGCTGGGACTACAGGTGCCCGCCACCACACCTAGCTAATTTTTGTATTTTTAGTGCAGACAGGTTTCACCATGTTGGCCAGGCTGGTCTCAAACTCCTGACCTCAAGTGATCCTCCAGCCTCATCCTCCCAAAGTGCTGGGATTACAGACGTGAGCCACTGTTCCCGGCCCATAATCTGTCCTTTTAAATATATGGAAAGTGGTCCCTTGTAGTTTGCAGACACATCAATAGATTATTCATAACCAACAAAGGATTTTGTTTATTATATTTGCCAAAGAAACATGGACATGGTTGCAAAAGCAAATACTTCACAAAGATGTATAATGAAAAGCAAGAGTACCCCGCCCCATGCCTGCCCTTTCACAGCTGCTTTTAACCACTTCTGGTGCTTCACGGTTGCCTCCGTAACCAGCTGACTGTTTTGTTCCTCACCTGCTATGTCTGTAGCACTATTACCAAGAGCGTTCGGGCATGCAGAGGTTAAAGTCTGGTCCTATTGTTAAGGAGAAAAGCCTTGTGTACCTTCAAGTCAACTCAGCAAACATTTGAGTATCTACTATGGACCAACGTCTAGGTTAAGCCATGTGGTCACAGAAATGGATAGCTACACTAAGGAGTTTGTACTCGGGTAAGGGAGACAGGCATGCAAACACTGCGTGGAAAATGCCATAATACATGTGTAGAAACCCCCTCAGAAGGGTTTTACACATATGTCCTAGAGCTCAGTCTTGGAAGTGCAATTAGAAATCTGGTAGGTAGATAAAGAGGAAAGGATGTCCAAGGCAGAGAGAACAGTGTATTCGTGGGCTGATGCAATCCATTCCAAATATTGGGAATAATTCATAAAATCTGATTTTTAGGATAAGTGAGTTAAGGAAATAATGTGGAGATGAGACAGGAAAGAAATGCACCTAGTTATAAAGACCCTTTTATATACACCGTTCAAAATATATCCTATTACTGATGGAAAGCTTTGGGAGTATTTTGAACAGGGATGTGGCATTTTCTCTATTATACTGTAAGTCCAATGGCAGAGGGGAGGATGAATTCAAGTGGAAGAAGCTGGGGTTTGATAAACCACTTGGGAAACTGGTTCAGGAAAGATAATATGAGGTACTGAAACAGTGGGAATAGGGAGGAAGAGGAAAGGAGAGATTCTAGAAATACTTCAGAGTAGAATCAAAAGGACTTGGTGAACACTCAGATTTTGGAGGTGAGGGAGAGGGAGGAATTGCAGATTACTGTATAACTCCTAGCTAGGGTAGCTAAGGAAAGAGTGGAAATTTTAAGAGTACCAGAATCTGGAGGAAAGTGAGTGAGTTTGAATATATTGAGTTTGA
This sequence comes from Homo sapiens, assembly GCF_000001405.40. Taxonomy (NCBI): domain Eukaryota; kingdom Metazoa; phylum Chordata; class Mammalia; order Primates; family Hominidae; genus Homo; species Homo sapiens. Next base: position 28,278,576 of record NC_000002.12, read on the forward strand.
GGTGTTTATGTGATAAGCAGATGGAGATATTCAGTAAGTAGCCAAAATTGTGAGACTAAAGTGGTGGCAGTAGAAGCCACAGAGCTGGTAGAATTCCCACAGGATGAATCTGTGATATGAGGGGACTGAAAACAGATCTGGGAAAGGCCAGCAGCTGGCGATGGGCTGAAGATTCCTGATGGAGACCAATCAGCAGCAGAGGGGTGAGATGAGAACCAGGAGAGAGGGCACCACGAAGGCAGCAGAGGACCGGATCTGGGGAGGTGCAGGTGACAAGGGAGAGGAGCATGAAAAGCATTTGCTTCAGTAATGATGGTGCCCATTGATGGTGTAGAAAAAGAAACACTCATGCCTTAGAGTAGGCGGAAGCCAGATGTGAATGGGCCACAGAATTCATTCACAGTGAAGGTGAGCCCGTCCTCTTTTGAGAATTTGGGGAATTAAAAGAAGAGTAAATGGGCAATAGCTAGTAGGGATGATAGTCAAGAGGCTGCTTTACAGGATGAGAGAACCTTCAGCATGATGAGAAGGAGCCGGTGGAAGAGAGGTTGGAATTCCTTGGTATGGAGTTCGGCTTCCTCTGAGCAAAGAGGTTCTGCTGCCTGAGTGGCCCCTTGGAGCCACTGAGGAGTTTGCCTTTTGCTTTCTCTGCCACCACCAGGTGAATAGGCGGCTTGGGAGGTGAAGCCTAGAGTTACCCTTGGACCTGAGGTTTCGTCAGCCGGAAACCTCCAGGCAGTTCAGCAGTGATGCACATCAGCAAAGCAGGGCCATCCATCTTGTGAGCTGCTTTTTGTTATCTCCACTTTGATTATCTCCTAAATAAAAATGGCACAGTATGAAACAAAATAAAGCCTGAGTAGGAGCCAGTCAGTCCTTCCTCCAAATCCCAGCAGCCTTTCGTGCAGCCTCCTGTTTTAGCATTTCTCATACTATATTGGGATTATTTTGTTTACTGACTTTCCCAAATGATGAGCCCTCTGAGGCAGAGTTCATTTTTGCTTCATCTCGAAATCCCCAACTTCTGTATTCAAACTCCTTACCCCTTACCATAAGGGTTAGTGCAGACAGGGCAGCTCAAAGGCTTTTTTTTTTTTTTTTTTTTTTGAGATGGAGTTTCACTCTTGTTACCCAGGCTGGAGTGCAATGGCATGATCTCAGCTCACCGCTACCTCTGCCTCCTGGATTCAAGCGATTCTCCTGCCTCAGCCTCCCGAGTAGCTGGGATTTACAGGCATGCGCCACCACGCCTGGCTAATTTTGTATTTTTAGTAGAGATGGGGTTTCTCCATGTTGGTTAGGCTGATCCGAAGCTCCTGACCTCAGGTGATCTGCCTGCCTTGGCCTCTCCCAAAGTGCTGGGATTACAGGCATGAGCCACCACGCCCGGCAGAGGCTTTTTAAGTAAATGTAAAAACTCACATACCTTTTCTTATTTGACTTATAAGAACGCATTTGGTCCTAGTCTCATATCAAATCATAACTAATTTTTTTTTTTTTTGAGACGGAGTCTTGATCTGTTGCCCAGGCTAGAATGCAATGGTTTGAACACAGCTCACTGCAGCCTTGACCTCCTGGGCTCAAGCAGTCCTCCCATCTCAGCCTCTCAAGCAGCTGGGACTACAGGCACAGGCCACCACACTCAGCACATTTTTTTTTATTTTTTGTAGAGATGGGATCTTGCCATGTTGCCCAGGCTAGTCTCAAATTCCCTGGGCTCAAGCAATCCTGCTTTAGCCTCCCAAAGTGCTGGGATTACAGGTGTGAGCCACTGAGCCCAGCCTCATAACTGATTTTTAAGTATTTAAAAATCCCACAGGTCATTCTTTAACATGCTAAAAGTTGCTCTAACTCTCAGTGGTCTAGAGTCCCATGGTCAAGAATACTCATGGTCACCTTCTTTGAGTTTCAGACAAACAACTCTCTTTTTGTACAAGTCTTAAACTGCTCTGCTCTTTAAACCAAATACATACACACATACACAGATATAGTTAGATACAGATGTGTGTGCATATAAAAATATGACACTCCTTAGTAAAATATTCCTCTAGACCTGGGGTTCACACATCCCTCCTCCTGATCCGTGCTGGTGCCTACTCAGGCACTACTTTGCAGATTTCTCTTCTATGAGCTAAGGTTTTTCTGAGCTAAGGTCAAGCGGTGACTTAGCAAGTTGAACGTGTAATGAACCAAACCTGTTTTTCCATGGAACCAATAATAATTAATCTAGAATGAGCCATTTGGCCTCCAGAAACAAAGAGATTTCCATCACAGAGTGTTGGTGAGGGGTCATGAGTAAGGCGGGGGGGCAGTGAGAGCAGCTGTTTTATTGTGAGAGTAGCAGGCAGGCTGAATGAGAAGGGGTTAGCTGTTGAGTCCACATCAGGCTCTGCTGCAGTGTGGCCAGGGTTAAGGTACTTTATTTTAAAGCCCTTTGGAACTTTCCTTTCTCTTTTATTTCCAATCTGATTTTTTTCATCTGTCCTTAAATGCTCTGTGTATATGAACTTCAACTTCTTTATTCAATCCCTAGTCTTTTAACCTGAGCTTGATGGGCTATACCACACCTTAGAAGGAAAGGCTACCTAGGCCTCCCCTGGGCTGCCCCCACCGGCATTCAAGGATTGTATTTTTATCCAGGAGACCTGGGCTGGTCCCTATGGAGGAGGACAAGGGGCACAATTAAGGTAATTAAACTGGCCTCCACGTGTAGGACAGATAGAAGGACAATTCTTGGAGGTAGACAAAGCTTACTGAATTGGTGTGATGTGATTGGTATTTAGGATTAACCAAAAGTATATTTTGCTGTATGAAATAGGTCAATACTTTAAAAAATATACATTCCCATTCTGTTTATCCATGGCGGAAGTAAATGTGACCCCCCCGAGCCCCACCAGTCTCCTCCCAGCAGGATATTGTCCTGTCCTCTTCAGAATGGGAGCCTTTCCAGAGATGGAAGCAGCAGAATGAAGAGTACTCAAAGTGACTCAAAGGTTTTGCATTTGGCAGAATATTAGACCCAATCTGATGGTGAATGGGGAGCAGGTTGTAACTTTTATTTCGGACGTGTAGTATAATTCTTCTCCAGTTAGTACCAGAACATTCTAGTGGCATCAGAGCCACTGGATTTAACATCTGAAGGCTTGAATTCAAGGCCAGCTCTGTCACTTAACTAATTCTAAACAAGCTACTTTGTGTTCCTGAGTTTCAGCGTTCTTGTCTGTGAATGGGATGGTATGCCCATCTTGAAGACACAAATGAGACAATACACATTTGACCTGTAAAGTTTATATGAGGACATCCTCCAGGCCTCTGAAATTATCAGACTGGAGCAGAGGTGAGCAGTCAGGGAAGGATATGGAGATTTTGAAGGCTTCAAAGGTTACTGACAGATGAGACTTTCTGAAAAGGAAGTGCTGAAGTGCCAAGCCTTCAGGCTTAACAGGTCCCTCAGCTGAGCTTTGGGAGTGAGGGCATGTTAAGCAGATGGAGAAAAAGAGGCAGTAAAAAATTTAAAAGGAAGAAAAGTAGCAGATCAATACAGTGTTGTGGAAACCATGGGAGAAGAACAGAAGTGAGCAACAGTGTCAGATGCCATTAAAACCCCGTAGATATAACCGTAAGATGTTTTCCCAACCAAAAGGAAGAAAACAAGGACATGGAAACATCAAAAATAAAAATTCTTAAAAGTCTGAGCTCATCATGCCCTTGAGCTTAACTTGGTCTGAAAGACAGACATCATACTCCTCCTCTGGTCCAAAACGACTGTGTTTATCAATCTCTCAGACTTTTGTGCTTTCTTGATCAACAGCCAGAGATGTGCTTGCCTATAGCAACCCCTGGCTGAAATGGTAGATCAGCCAAAATGCCCAAGCAGAAGCTCTTTCCACAATGTCAGAAACAAGCAGTAAATCACATTTATAGCACTTGTAGATACAGCATGGGCTCCAGACACAGCAGGCAGGGTCGAATCCTGGCCCCATCTCCTCACAGCTTCAAGTTCTCTGGCTTGCCCAAAGCCAGGCTTACTCCTAGTAGAAAGGGGCGAGGGGGAATCATATGGCAGAAAGTATCCAGCACATTGTAGGTATTCAATAAATGCTGATTTTCCTCCTTTTTCTTAGCATTAAGAAAGTATTTATAGCCGGGCACGGTGGCTCATGCCTGTAATCCCAGTATTTTGGGAGGCCGAGGTGGGCGAATCACGAGGTCAGGAGTTCAAGACCAGCCTCGCCAACATGGTGAAACCCCATCTCTACTAAAAATACAAAAAATTAGCTGGGCATGGTGGTGGGCACCTGTAATGTCAGCTACTCGGGAGGCTGAGGCAGGAGAATCACTGAACCCAGGAGGCAGAGGTTGCAGTGAGCCAAGATCACACCACTACATTCCAGCCCAGGCAGCAGAGCGAGACTCCGTCCCAAAAAAAAAAAAAAAAAAAAAGGAATGAAAACAAAACAAAAAACCCCATGCCTAACTATTATCTGTAGTAAGAGATCTTTCAAGCACAGATGAATCAGTAACCCAAAGTCGTACAGCTATTGTAGTGGCAGTTACTGTGTTCCTGCAGGGAGATGTACTGTTAAATACAGTGGCCTTGTAGTGTGTATGTACCTCACTGGGCTTGGAATCAAGACCCTGGGCTTCTCTCTGTGGCTGCTGAAGCAGTTGAGGCAGTTCACCACTCTATAGCGTAATCTCATTTGTAAAACGGAGAGTTGATTTCTTGGGCTCCTTTTTGAACTGTGCTTTAGCAAGTATATCCTCTGTTATGACAAGACTCAGAGATTTTTAAGTAAATGTCTCACCTAGCTACAGTACACCCTGTAAGTACACTTGTCAAAAGATAGCCAGAGGAAGTAACTCAAGAGGGTCACCACTTCTCTGTATTTCACCCTCAGGCCTGGCTCTCGCCTTCTAGTAAACTTGGTGGCTGGTTCCCAAGTCCCTTGGAACATTCTGTGTTTTGTTTGTTTGTTTACTTGTTAGTTTGTTTCAAGTCCCTTGCAGTTTAACTACCCAGAGAAGGTCTGTGGTACATAGATACACTAACCTTGTAAGAGTACAAGAAGAGTAACCTAATAGCCTGGGCCCAGGAGGTAGGTGTGGAGGGAACCAGGAAACTACAGATATAGGCCACACTTAGCTTAGGGACTGGCGTGTCTGATTAGGCCTTGGTGTCACAATTGTATGGCCCACTATCAGTATTGATATTCTTAAATTTGACTTTGAGTCATTTAGAAAGGGATAGGGGAGCAGTAAATGTAAGGTCCATTTTATAGAGATTTTTATCAAAAACAATGAAAAATAAAAGTTTTAGAGCTTTCAAAAACAAACCCCAGTTATCTGGAAAGCACAGCTGTCAGAAATGGTTTACTGACTGTGAATATGCATGCTTTTCTTCGGATTAACAATGATTCAATACCTTTGATTGAAAAGTATCTTATTCCTTTAAATTTGGATGTACAAGTCAGGCAACTCACTCAAGTCAAGGGCTTGCCTCAACATGATCACCTTATGTTTGCACAGTTTATTCTCTTTGAGTTAGTTAAATTTCAGAATAATATGACAATTTAAAAACAGTATTTTAGGCAGCAATCATACCTTTATCTCAAATGAAATTTCTAATCAGAATTGCTATCAAAGAGGAACATTAATTTCCATTCCCCTGCTGCCTGTCCCACCCATGCTCATAGAAGAAGTAATGACCAAGGAGCTAGTCAGAAAACAGTAGCAAGAAAACAAAACAAAAAGCTGGACAATTCACAGGCCAAAGAGGTAATCCTAAATATACAAAGATTGATTATATTGTGGGTCTTTAAAAAAAAAAAAACACTCACAAATAAATTGGTTAGCAAAAAAAGAAAGAGCCTTTATCTTAAAGAAAGCACCTATGAGAATGGAGAGAATATTGCATGATCAAAGCACAAAGGAAAAACTGTCTGACCGAGGTTTCATCAGGCTTCCTCTCTGTTCAGATCTTTTTCTGATCTGTGGTCCGGTTTGGCTGCAGGACCCCATTTGACCGTAGATTCTCTAGAGCTATG